>NC_000010.11:19100909-19252424 GCF_000001405.40 Homo sapiens
CTAGGGACTATCTCTATGAAAAAGCTTTCAGAAAGAATAAAATGTTAATTTGTAAAGAATAGATTTTTACCTACAAACACACAATTCATATAACAGCTTAAATATTTTAATAACTATGTTACAATAGCAGTAGTGAACATTATTTAATGCTAACTATATACCAGGTGCTGTTTTACATGTTCGCAACTCATTTTTCCTTATCATGTAAGCTATCATTTTATCATTACATTGTACAAAGAAGAAAACTGAGGTACAGAGATGTTAAATAAGTTCTCCAAGGTCCTGTTGCTATTAAGTGTTATACCAAGGAACTGAATCCAAATAGTTTGATTTGAAATACATATATATATATTCAAAATATATATAATATGTAATAAATATATAACATATATCTATATTATAAATAGATATTTTGAATCAAACTACTTGGATATATATAATATATGTAATTATATATTATATATAACCAACTTGGGTATGTATATTGTATTATTCATATATTATATATTATAATAATATATAATATAATAATTACATATTATATAATTTATATAATATAATTAATACTTGTATATTATATAAAATATATAGCATATGTATATCATTATATAATATATAATATTGATATTATAACATATAAAATATATAATATGTATATTGTATTATATATAATCTGTATATATAATACATAATTTTATGTATATATACATATATACATATGCAAAATATATACAATACATATACTATAGGTACATCTATGTATATAAGATATAGGTATATTATACATATATGTATATATAATATATATTCTATAATATATACATTATATCACATATATAATATATATTATAATATGTATATTATATTATTATATATCCAACTGGGATACATATAGAATAAATTTATAATATATAAATATGTTATATCTCTACTTGGAGATATATCTATAACGTATTTGTATATATTACAAATTTATTAATATATATTAATATATAATATATATTATATATAATCTCCAAGTAGTTTGATTAAAAATATCTGTATCTATATAATATATGTTAATTTATATATGTTATAATATAATTATAACATATATCTATATTATAATGTTTTAATTATAAACTATATTTAATTATAATCTATATTATAATATAATTATAACATATATATGGTATAACATATTATTATATCATATATGATATATGATATAAATTATATAATATATATTATATAACTATGTATATGATATAAAAATATATTTTTTGAAAAAATATCTTTTGAATCAAACTACTTGGTTTCAGATCCTAGCTATATCTTGGATTCAGATTCTAGCCATACTTTTAATCACTGTGTTATACTGCCTTTGTATAAAACTATCTCTACACAATAATCTTTGCCAGGCCTTTGCAAAATGGTTCTATTTTCTAAGTAGTTACACTTATTTTTGTATAAAGAAAATACGACTTTCTTAGGACTACCTATTGACAGATTTTTCTATAGGTTGTGGATGTTTCTCAGTGGACTTTTAATAGAGTGATAGGTAGCATATGGCTTGAAAGGAAATATATTGGTACAGCATATTGTACAGGGATGAAAGAATTTCCCATAGAAAAATGATCTGTTGTGTTTTGCTGCATCCAGATCAATTGTAAACCTAAAAATCTGGGCTGACTTCTTGAAAAATAAAATGTTTATGTTGTAAACAAGGTTGAATAATGCACATGTGTTCATCACATCCATGAACAAAGCCTCTAACATCAGTGATACTCATTAATAAGGGTGGGATAATGTCTGCCATCAACATGCCAATTTTCTATCGATTTAGTTAATTAGAAAATCGGAGACTGGCTTCTTTTTAAGTTTCTCAGATCAATCATACCAGAGTATCTTTTCTTAGCGGTGTCTTGGGCGGGCTCCACATCCTAATGTCACGTTCAGTCATTTCTTCTTTTTTTTTGAGAACAAGTCTTACTCTGTCACCTGGGCTGGAGTGTAGTGGTGCGATCTCTGCTCACTGCAACCTGCGCCTCCCGGTTCAAGCAATTCTCCTGTCTTAGCCTCCTGAGTATATGGGATTATAGGTGCCCGCCACCACTCCCAGCTAATTTTTTGTATTTTTAGTAGAGACGGGGTTTCACCATGTTTGCCCGGCTGGTCTAGAACTCCTGACCTCAAGTGATTCACCTGCCTCAGCCTCCCAAAGTGCTGGGATTACAGGCGTGAGGCACTGTGACAGGCCACGTTCAGTCATTTTAACAATAAGTCACAGAACAATCATTTCCAGTCGATGTTTAGATAATGGCAGAAAATGTGCAATAGGTTAGCATGAGGATGACATCTAAGGCAAGAGTCGATAAGATTTAGAGAACCGGCCAGGTGCGGTGGCTCAAGCCTGTAATCCCAACACTTTGGGAGGCCGAGGCGGGCAAATCACAAGGTCAGGAGATCGAGACCATCCTAGCTAACACGGTGAAACCCTGTCTCTACTAAAAATACAAAAAATTAGCCGGGCGCGGTGGTGGGCGCCTGTAGTCCCAGCTACTCGGGAGGCTGAGGCAGGAGAATGGCATGAATGTGGGAGGCGGAGCTTGTAGATCGTGCCACTGCACTCCGGCCTGGGTGAAAAAGCGAGACTCCGTCTCAAAAAAAAAAAAAATAAATAAAGATTTAGAGAACCAAAGGGGAAGATGGGACACAATTGCAAAATGCCAAGAACTGGAGCTCAGGATGGAGCATGGATCCAAAAGCAGGTAAATGCGAAACAGTGTGAACACATAGGAACTGAAAATAGGAGATGGTTGTAGGGAAAAATCTAGGTGAGTATTGCTGCATTTCACTATCATGTTACCTATCCTATGCCAGACATTTGAGATACAGTGATGACCCTGCATTTCTTTGTTTTTGAGAATGTTTGCTTTGATTTCTTTGCACCTGGAATTGGCATGGTCACCCAAGTGCTTCTAGAGAGTGACATGCTTCCTATTGCAGGCTCTCTTTTATAACACTGTGAGACAGTGATGTTCCTTGCTTTATGTTTTTGTTTTGTTTTGTTTTGTTTTTCTGGTGCAGGTTGTTTTTGAAGGTCAAATGGCTTCAACGTATGAACAGGATGAAGTCATTGCTATTGATGATATATCTTTCAGTTCAGGCTGCTTGCCTGCCAATGGTAAGAACTTTTTCTCTCATTTTGATCTTTACTGTGTTTAAAGATTTCAGTGCAATTTAAACATTGTGATGACTTTAATCTGCTGTTTATTTTTGTCTGATGTTTTCATGTGGGATATTTTTCGTTCTAATACATTGTATAACAGTGACTGGATCTATACTGGGAGTGAAGTTTGGCTGTTTTTCACTGACTGATGCTGTAAAGAACTGAATGGGATAATTTAGTCTCAAACTTGAAATCTTGTAGCAATGTTTACAACGGCTAAAGTTAAATCTTAACAAGAGAACTCTGTGCCTTCTAGGAGACTGGGAGAAAACTAGCCTCCATAGACTTGAAATTGTCTTCTTGGACAATTGGTTTGATTATTCTGCTGAAAGATACAAAATAGAGGTATTAGTTATAATCTATTTTCTATTTTGACACATCAATAAACTACATATATCAGATATAAATTTTTATTTATATTGTTCCTTTGATTATATTAACTAATATTCTATTCTTCATTTATATTATTCCAAAAACAATTCAATATTAAAATTAGAATAGCATAAAATACCAGGCTTAATCCAATAATAAAAAAGAGTCAGTCATATTGAAACCCATATATTTCAGGGTTTTAAGAATTTTGTTATATTGTGGCATGATATAACAGAATAAAGAAGGTATTTTGTAGATAAAGCTTCTGAGTTCAGTTTGGTACAAAGATATAGTTGTTGTGGTAAATGATATTTCAAGACAAGAAGAGATGTCTTCATCTACTTAAGAAAGACCATAGGATCTTGATATTGTGCTTGGTTTTTGAAAAGTTTTATTTTATTTTTAATTGACACATAATTGTATATATTTATGGGATACCATGTGATGTTAAATACATGTATCCATTGTGTAATGATTAAATCAGGGTATTTAACTTATTGGTTATTCCAAAAATTTATCTTCTCTTTGTAGTAAGAACATTTGAAATTCTCTCTATTAGTTATTTTGAAATAATATAATATCGTTAACTATACTGTGTAATAGAAAACCAGAATTTATTCCTCCAATCTCTCGGTAATTTCATACCCATTGACCAGTTTCTATACACACACCGTCCATGCTATCCTCCCCAGCCTCTGGTAACCACTATTCTACACTGTACTTCTATAAGATAGGCTTTTGAAAATTTTGCAGATGAGTAAGATAATGTGGTATTTGTTTTCCTGTGTCTGTCTTATTTTGTTTAATATATTCCAGATTCATCCATATTGTCACAAATGATAGGCTTTTATTCCTTTTATAGTTAAATAAAAAAGAATCCTATTGCATGTATGTTACCACATTTTCTTTATCCATTTGTCCATTGATGGACACTTAGGTTGATTTCATATCTTGGCTATTGTAAGTAGTTCTGCAGTAAACATGGGAATGCAAAAATCTCTTTGACAGAGATTGAATTCGTATCTCTTTGATTTCATTTTCTTTGGATAAATACTCAGAAGTGGGATTGCTGAGTCATTTGGTACTTCTATTTTCAACTTTTTGAGGAACCTCCATAATGTTCTATATGAGTGTACTAATCTACATTTCTACCAACAGTATATAAGTATTCCCATTTATCCACATCCGAACCAGCATTTATTAACTTTGACTTTTTGATAGTAGCCATTCTGACAAGTATGAGATGATATCACATTGTGGTTTTAATTTGCATTTCCCTGAGGATGAATGATGCTGATAATTTTTTTCATATTCTATTTATTGGTCATTTTTCTGAGAAATAGCTATTGAGGTTTTGTGTCCACTTTCAAATTTGATTATTTGAAAATGAGTTGTTTTGAGTTTCTTATATATTCTGAGAATTGACCCCTTATTAGATGCACAGTTTGCAAACATTGCCTCTGATCCTGTAGGTTGTCTCTTCACTCATTTGTTTCCTTTGTTGTACAGAAGATTTTTAGTTTGATGTAATCTCATTTTTTTAAAAGGACTGGTTTTATTTGTTTATTTATTCTATGAGTGAAATATTTTACATATTTATGGGGTACATGTGAGTTTGTTACATGCATAGAATGTATTCAGTCTCCCTTTATATTCTCTTCCCACCCACTCACCCTTCACAGCTTCTAGTATCTATCATTCTATTCTCTATTTCCATGAGATCAATTTGTTTTTAACTCTCACATATGAGTGAGAGGTTGTTAGTTATTTATTAAATGTTTGCTAGAATTTAGTAGTGAAGCCATCAGGTTCTGGGTTGTTCTTTGGTGGGAGACATTTTGTTACTGATTCTATCTGTTCAGATTTTCTCTTTCTTCAACTTTAGTAGGTTTTATGTGTCCAGGAATTTATCTATTTCTTCTAGGTTTTCCAGTTTATGGTTGTTCATAATGGTCTTTTATCCTTTGTATTTCTGTGCAACCAGTCATAATAGCTCCATTTTCATCTCTCATTTTATTTGAATCTTCTATCTTTTTTCCCTTAATCCAGCTATTGTTTGTCAATTTTGTTTATCTTTTTTAAAAAAACAACTTTTTGCTTTGTTGTCTTTGGTATTGCTTTGTTTAGTTTCTATTTCATTTAGGTCTGCTCTGATCTTTATTATTTATTTCCTTCTACTAATTTGGGGTTTAGTTTCTTCCTGTGTTTTCTAATTCCTTGAAGTACACATTAGGTTGTTTGAGCTCTTTCTAATATTTTGATGTAAGCATTTATTGGTATAAACTCCTCTCTTAGAATTGGTTTTGCTGTGTTCCTTAAGTTTTGGTAGGTTGTTTCTCCATCTTTATTTGTCTCAAGGAATATTTAAATGTTCTATTTAATTTCATCATTGGCTTATTTTGTTTTTCAGGGGTACGATTAATTTTCATGTATTTGTATAGTTTCCAAAGTTCATTTCATTGTTGAATTCTAGTTTTATTCCGTTTTGGCTGGAAAAGATAATTACTATGATTCTGACTTTTAAAAAATGGTTGAGACTTGTTTTGTGGCCTAACATTTGATATATCCTGGAGAAAATTCCATGTGCTGATGGGAAAATGTGTATTTTGTAATTATCGAGCAGAATGTTCTGCAAATATATTTTAGGTTTATTTGATCTAGAGTTCGGTTTAAATATCATGTTTCTTTGTTCATTTTCTGTCTGAATTATCCGTCCATTGCTGAAAGTAGGGAGTTAAAATCCCTTGCTATTATTGTATTGCAGTCTATCTATTTCTATACATCTAATAATGTTTGCTTTATATATTGGGAGGTCTAGTTTTGGGTGAATATATATTTACAAGTATTTTATCCTTTTTCTAAATGGATCCCTTTATCATTATATTACAACCATCATTATCCATTTTTTCAGTTTTCAAATTAAAGTCTATGTTATCTGATATAGTTATAGCTACTGCTGGTCTCTTTTGGTTTCTATTTGCATGAAATATTTTTATTCCATTCCTTTAGTTTCTCAGTCTATGGGTATTTTACAGGTGATGTGAGTCTCTTCTAGGCAGCATATAATTTGGTCTTTTTTTTTTTTTTAATCTACTCATCCACTCTATATATTTTGAAAATTTAATCCATTTACATTTAATGTTATTATTAACAGATAAGGCCCTACTCCTTTCATTTTAGTCGTTATTTTCTGGTTATTTTGTAGAAATTTGTTTCTTTCTTCTCTTGTTGTTTATCTTTGTGGTTTGGTGGTTTTCTATAGTGGTAAGCTTTGATTCTTTTCTATTTCTCATTTGTTTATCTGCTGTAATTTTTTTCTCTGTGGTTACCATGGGGCTTACATTTAAAAAATCTTATAGAAGACTATTTTAAACTGATAACAACTTAAATTTGGTTGCATGCAAATATTCTAGAATTTTACTGTCCTCCCACAATTTGTCTTTGACTTTTGGTAATATGATTATAATGTGTCTTAAAGAGGACATCTTTACATTGAATCTAAGGCAGACTTTGGGCTTTGTGGATATGGATGTTCATATTTGTCCCAAGGCTTGGGAGGTTTTTAACTATTATTTTAATAAGTAAGATTGCTGTGCCTTTCTTCATCTTTTCTCCCTCTGGAAATTGTATAATGCAAAACTTTGTCTGCTTAATGGTTTCCCATAGGTCACATAGGCTTTGCTTGCTGTTTTTCATTCTTTCTTCTTTTTTTCCCTCCTAAGCTATTTCAAAGACTTGTCTTCAAGTTCAGAACATCCTTGTTCTACTAGTGTGTTACTGACATCCTCAATTGTATTTTTTGTTTCATTTGTTGATATCCTCAGCTACAAGATTTCTGTCTTATAAATGATATCTCTTTGTTCAAATAATTATTGAGCTCATGAATTGTTTTTTCTTTTTTTTTTTTTTTTTTTTTTTTTTTTTTTTTTTTTTAAGACGGAGTCTCGCTCTGTCGCCCAGGCCGGACTGCGGACTGCAGTGGCGCAATCTCGGCTCACTGCAAGCTCCGCTTCCCGGGTTCACGCCATTCTCCTGCCTCAGCCTCCCGAGTAGCTGGGACTACAGGTGCCCGCCACCGCGCCCGGCTAATTTTTTGTATTTTTTTTAGTAGAGACGGGGTTTCACCTTGTTAGCCAGGATGGTCTCGATCTCCTGACCTCATGATCCACCCGCCTCGGCCTCCCAAAGTGCTGGGATTACAGGCGTGAGCCACCGCGCCCGGCCGTTTTTTCTAATTTTATTGAATTGTGTATATTCTCTTTTATCTCATTGAGTTACCTTAAAATTATTATTTTGAATTCCTTTTTGGGCAATATATAAATTTCCATTTTGGGTGGGGGTCAGGTACTGGAGAGTTATTGTGTTTCTTTGGTCGTATCATGTTTCTTTGCTTTTCTGTATTTCTTGTTTCCCTATGTTGATATCTGTGCAACTGGTGGAATAATTGCTCCTTCCAATTTTATAGAATGGCTTTCAGGGGGAAATATTTTCACCTGTGTTTTAGAGTATTGGTTAGATAGGGTACCTTTACTACACCTGTGCTTTAGAGTATTGGTTAGGTAGGGTACACTGACTTTGGTTCCATTTGGGCACAGTAGTGTAGTCTCAGAGTAATTTCTTCAGCTGTAGTCAACATCAGTAATACCTGAAGGTGTCTCATTGGCTCAGGTTATAGGAGTTTGTGCAGCTCCTTGGACAAGCTTCCCCACTGGGGGTGGGGATGCTGGGCTGTTCTGAATGCCAAGTGTGCATGAGAGCTGTTCTATTACTGGGTCAAGCGTTACCTCCCTGTCGGGGACAGAAGTGTTGGGCTGTTTCGTGTATTGAGGGTTTGTCAGGGCTGCTCCACTACCGGGTTGGGTGTGGCTTCTTTGCTGATGTTCATGGTGCCAGACTGTTTCACACACAAGGATGCATGAGGACTGCTCTATCTCCGGGTCAGTCATGACCTCCCTGGTTGGCAAGATTGCCTATAATTTGGGGGTAAAGACATCTCATAAGCTTGGCCACCGGGGTTGCAGCAGTACCACTAGGTATAGGCTTCAAATAGCTGGGATGGTGTGCTGCAGCCACTTGAATTTGAAGACTGGAATGCCTCCTGGCAATTTATTCACAGAAGTAGATAGCTATAGCTTCTTGGATGGAGAATGGCACACTACCAAGTGGGAGCACAGTGTAGTGCCAGCAGATCCTCATGGATGGGGAGATGCAGTGGCTACTGGATCCCAGAGAAAGATGCACTCTAGTCATGGCTCCAGTCCCAAGATAGCACTTTATAGCAGCAATGTAGATATGGGAAGAGAAGGCACAATGTGCGCTCCTTCTTTGGAGCAGCATAACCATGTCAACTTCTGGCAGTGACCTTAGACTGGGCTTAGGGCCTGTGATGACTGCAGAGTTCTGTAGCATCAAAAACTGTGGCAACTGATCTTTGATGGGGGATGCTGGGGGCCTCCTGCTTACCTTTTCTTTGCAATGGTAATTACTTCTGATTCTGAACCTCTCCCAACTGGGGAGACAGGGCAGTAAAGATAGGGTATTTTCTTCCATTTTCTATGAATCCAGTCTGAGTCCCCATGCTCTACAGGGTCACTGCTATTCCCCTGCAACACTCTGGTGCTTTCCCTCAGCTGCTGTTGTCAAAATGTGCTTGTTTATTCATTGTTTTAGTCCTTTTTCATGGAGGGAAAATACATTAAGCGTCTCTAGTCAGTTGTCTTGCTAACATCACTCCAGTCCGTGCTTGGGTTTTTAACATCCCTTCTGTTAGCATAAGAGCTTATGGATAGATGTTTCTTGCCACATAGACCAAGCCTGGGTTTTGTAGAAGCTGGTGACAGCTGCTTCTAACACTGGAACATGTAAAGTTCTCGTTTGCTTTTGTATTTTTAGTGCTCAGCATTTATCAGGCGAGAAATCACTATATGCTACATTTAAAAGTATATCAATTGAAATAGAGAACTTTAAGGGACCAGATTATAACACCCCTGCCTCAAACCTAGAAGTAAATAATTAAAGTGTCGTCCTCAATGCTGTTTCACTATTAGAAAATAACATTTATTGGACTTATCAAAAGGGATGCAATTTATCAATAGAGAATATATGGCTAACTGAAGGCAATGCAGCCTCTACTGCTGACTGCTTTGTTATTTAAAATCTTCTCTAATACCCCCTCTTCTGTTACTTTCCATGGTATTCCTGGGTCCAGAGCAAAGCCAGCTTAGTTTTAATGAGACATCTGGTTCTTGACCCTGATCCCTTCAGCAATGTCTTTATATATCTCAATTTTATAGTTTCTGCAGAGGTCAGGGTCTGGCAAAGAAAATGATCCCTGATCATTTTGTACTAGTGTTATTCATTGGCTGGTCTGGCTAATCACATTCAAAGGAGAAAAAGGCAAGGAAATCACCTATTGGCTGGACTTTCCTACTGTAGGGAAGTTAGGAATTGGTTGCTGCCATTGAAACTGTATTTGCATTACAAATTTACAAACACACATGCTTGGGTGATGCTTGGGAATTGAGATGGCCTGTAATAAGATTTTGCTATCATTTTAGATATAAATTTCTCTCTATCTTTGTCTCTGGGAACCAAAGCCATTTCCCTACTTACCCATGAACTATATACTGGGACAAAGACCAAGTAGATGGGCCATCATATATATTCAGAAGACAAATGTCAGATGTGTAGTAAGTATTTAAAAAGACTCTATAAAATCACTACAGAAGTACAAAAGCAATCATAGTACAAGTGAGATTTCAGAAAGATGAATATTCAAAGGAAAATTGTGATCCAGTAGAAAAACATGAGCATTTTCAATTTTTAAGGTAATTGTTCTAGACATCATTATAACCATAATGTATTTGAGGTGGTGTGGAGAAGAAATTTACTAAAGAAGAGGCATCAATAAATGTTAAGACTCATTTATTGTCTGAGCCTTTCACGTGAATATGACATTTATATAACATGACAAGCTTTGGGACTGGAGAGGAGGACTTTGAAATCTAAGACTGAAGTTATCAATGCATATGGAAAGTAGACCTACACGTATGACAGAGGGCAATAAGCTGAATATCATGAACCAAGATGTTTGCACACTTTCAAAGATAAATACTTGTGCTGAAGCAACATTGGGGATTTAGATGAACTGCAACCCTATTTTTAGGCTTTGCCTTTTATGGGGCATTGCAAACAATGTCATCTCCTGGGAATGCTGCAAAGGAAGTAGTTTTCTTATGGAGAAAGCCAGGATTCAGATGAGGTCACCTGGTATGTTCTTTGAAGATGAGGACACAGAGAGTTGTTTCTGTTTTTGTTTTTCAAGTAAAATAAGGATTGAGGGCATATTTACATTTTTGGGAGGAAAACACAGCAGCATGAAGATTAATAATAGAGGAAAAACATAAAGCATTATGGGATGAGATTGGCACTTGGCTGGGGCTGCACTTTGTAAATGGCAGAAATGTGAGAGATTGTAAAATTAAGTAGCATTAAATTGCCAAATGGGACTCTCTAGCCAAGTTCAGGCACTGTCATAACAGACTAAACCTAGTTAATCATCAGAATCACATCAGGGAGTGATTGATTCTGGGCTTCACTCCAGTGATAGATGGGAATCACTGTAAATGGAGCCTGAATTTTAAATAAGATTCTCAGGATTTTTTTTTTTTTTTTTTTATGAAGCCAGTAGAGCTCAGGCTTAAAAACAGGACTAGCATTTGGGAACCACAAGGTCTGGTATCCTGCTGATGATTGTACTTGGGGCAGAGTCCCAGCTAACTAGAATGAGTAGTTTTAGTCTCATGCAATCCTGGTGGTGGTGGTTGGGGCAGGGGTGGAGGGAGCATCGGAGACATGCCGTTCAGCATCTTCTGGACATCGTCATCAGAAAATCCTATACCTATGGAGGATAGGGATAGGGCTTCTTGGATTTGGATGCAAGAAAACAGGCAAGTTTGCTTAAATCACTTAAGGAAATGGAGGAGATAATTATGGAAAAGGTTCATCACCCCCAGTACTGTTAGAGTCGGGGACCAAGGAATTTATTTTTTTGTATCTGCCTTACTACCTTACGCTTGTCACTTTATGGCTATAAGATGACCGTTAAAGGCCTGTACATCTCAAATTTTGGGCAGGAAGAAGGTAGAAATAAGAAGGGGCAATGTTTTTGGCCATATCATTGGCTTGACTATTTTATCTGGATAACTTTAGTTGCTAGGCAGGCTAACAAAACTGAATATTTAGCTTTTAGCCTTTGGAATAGAGGTAAGTAAGGAGAACAGATTTATGAGTGGAATAAGCAAATATATTTGCTACAGAAACTGAAAATCAACAATGTTTAGAAGTAAACTCCAATTTTCTTTCAAAATCTGTTCCCTCTCATTCATTCCCTGTTTTAGTCATTGGCAGTTGTTTTTTCTCACTCAAAAAGTTAAGAGTAATTTTTACATATTCTTCTCTTTTTTTCACCTTTATATCAATTTGGCTAAAAAATATTATTGAGGGAATGTCCTACCTTATTTCTTAAATTTTCTCCTCTTATTTATTACTATTATTTATCCAACCCTGACTTTGTTCCAGCCCACATTTTTTTTCCCCTATGGGATATTTTTTTTCTTCCAATTTTAATGTATTCTACTCAACAATCTACTTCCAACAGATTATACTTTATAACAGACACCTATGGCCAGGTCTCCACTTCTCATAAATCCATCAATAAGTCTTACTGCCTCCAGGACAGAATTCAAATATTTTATCATGATATTAGCTCCTCACGATACTGCTCTTTTTCAGTAGTCCAATGTCCTCCTTCACAATTCCCCCAAGAATCCCATACTCTGGTCAAAACAAATTACTTGTGAGTTCAGCAACGCAGTGTCCTCTAATTCCTGGGTATTATGCAAACCTCTTTTCCTCTGCCCGAAAGCCTCATTCCATGACTTTTCTTTTTCTTCTTCTTCTCATTTTTCCTCTCCTTCATCCTCTCCCTATACTCCCCACCTTCTCTTCCCTCTTTTCTCCCCATTCCTCTCCCCTCTGTCCTCCTCCTACATTTCTCCTCCCTCCTTCCTCCACCTCCCTTGCCTTCTTCCTCTCCTTTCCTTTTTCTTCCTTCTTCTCCCTTCTGCCTTCTTTGTTCCTTCCTTTTCTTTCTTTCTTTCTTTTTTTTCTTTGTTTTTGATATGTCCTTCCACCATTTATGCTCAGGTTTCTGAGCAAAAGTTTCTTGTGAGTTGAGGTTTCTTGTGCAGGGAATTTTCCCTTGTAGACTATCCCTCCACATTGCCACTACCACCCCCTACACACACACACACACACACACACACACACACACACACAGACACACACACACAGACACATGTGTATTGATTTATCTCCATGACTAAATTCTAAGTGCCTTGAGGCATAGTTCCTACCCTGTCTAATTCATTTGTGGACCCTAGAACAGAACAAGCACTTAATAAATACAGATTGACCAAATGATTGAACAAAGAACATGTGCAGTTATTCAAATGCCAAATATTTGAGATTTTGGATTATTTCTTCTTCCTTGTGAGATACATATGCTCTATTCCATAAAAAAGCAGATTTAAATAAAATATCAGGGGAAGATGTTTTTAACAGTACTTACATTTGTGCTAAGAATATTATATTATTTCTAGGTTTTTGTTTTAGTATGAAAAATGAAGCTAAGTCCTCAAACTATATAATGAGGCTTTATTGAAGAAGAATTAATCTGGGCCAAGCATTTCCCATATTTTAATAGACATACAGGTACTTTTGCCATATTATAACAGAAATATTGTATTTAGAAATGAGTGGACTTAAAGAAAATGAGTGGACTTAAGTTCTAACATAGCCGTCTTGTGGTAAGTCTTTTTGGTTTATAGAAATGATTGTTTAGGAGGCTGAGGTGGGCAGATCACTTGAGGTCAGGAGTTCGAGACCAGCCTGGCCAACATGGTGAAACCCCATCTCTACTAAAAATACAAAAATTAGCTGGGCATGATGGCGTGCAGCTGTAATCCCAGCTACTCCAGAGGGTTGAACCTGGGAGGTGGAGGTTGCAGTGAGCTGAGACGGCACCACTGCACTCCAGCCTAGGTGACAAAAAAAGACTCTGTCCTGGAAAAAAAAATGATATTTAGATTTCCTAAAAAGACTTCTTTTCACATATGTGGACCACTATGCACCTGCCCTACACACCTCAGGGCTAGTATATTAGTCTATTATGGCTGCCATAACAAAGTACCTCAGACTGTGTTACTCAAACAATAGAAATTTATTTTTTCTTGATTATTGAGGCCAGACATCCAAGTTCAAAATGTCAGCAGGATTGATTGAGTTTTGTGTCCTTTCTTCTTGGCTTATAGATGGCTGTTTTCTCCCTGTGTCTTCACATGGTCATTCTATACCTGACTATGACCTAAACTCTAGTTTAAGTACACCAGCCATATTGGATTAGGGCCACCCTGGTTACCTCATTTTACCTTAGTTAGCTCTATAAAGGCTGTATTTCCAAATACAGTCACTTTCAGTAGTACTTTGGGTTAACAGTTCAACATAGGAATTTTGGGAGGCATGATTTAGCCCATAATAACCAAGTTCCAGACAACTAGAAACAGCTTCTATGTTCTAGGGCCTGCTGACATCATTAAAACTAGCCAGTCCTAGGCTTGCTTACCCTGCCTCCCCTGCTTCTTCTCCTAGAAACCAGAAGAAAGTTTCTTACCCACAATTCACTCCTCTTCCTCTGCCTCCTGACTGACGCTGGGACTTTCCCACGTGCTCCCTCTTCTTGGAGAGGAGGTGTCTAGAGACACCCAAGAGGAGGTCTATACTCTGGGTGACCAAATAATCTGTATAACAGACCCCCATGACACGAATTTACCTATATAACAAACCCACATATGTACCCCGAAGTTAAAATAAAAGCTTTTTTTTTTAAAAGTAAAAAACAACTCATAGAGCTGAATACTGGAAAATAGGAACTTTACCATATGTAAATTTATAAATAAATTTGAAAATGAAATGACCAACTTTTAAAGTTGAATAATTCTGAGATGAGGAAGTTTATAATATATGGCTTATTTATTATACTCTTATTTATGAAAATGAAACTATTATTTTACCATATATGTTTCTCTTTACTATAAAAATATATCATGAGGTCAGGAGTTCGAGACCAACCTGGGCAACATGGTGAAACCCTGTATCTACTAAAAATATAAAAATTAGCCAGGTGTGGTGGCACATACCTGTAATCCCAGCTACTGGGGAGGCTGAGACGGGAGAATCGCTTGAACCCAGGAGGCAGAGGTTGCAGTGAGCTGAGATCACGGCACTGCACTCCAGCCTGGGTGACAGGGTGAGATCCCATCTCAAACAAAAGAAAAAAGAAAAAAATACATATAAGCTATTTTATTTATAAAACTGCTTAGTATTAGGTATTTTCACAGTTTCTGAACACTTTGCAAGTTGGACAATAAAACTAATTTTTAATATGAAAGAAATTGTTTAGCCTATTTCCAGATTTTCAAACAATACCGTTCTAACCTCTGCCCCTTCCAAGATATGAAATTTTATTGTACATTTATTGAAAAGAGGATCACTTTAGATTTTACCAAAGTAGCTAGTATGAAAAAAAAATCAAGCCTTGCTATTGTGATTAAATAAGAACATGTTTAATCACTGATTCTTGAATAACACTGATTCTTAAAGAAACAGCTGATTATAATTTTGTATAACGATTTCATGCTGTGGCTCACAATCAGAATATTTTGAATATTCTGTGAATATTTTTAGATTGGTTTTTCAGGACTTTGCCTAAGTCTCATTTGTAAAGCCCTCAAATATACCAATCATCCCTTTATTAGAATCTGAATGATGCATATATATTATCCAGTTAAATAACTAAGGACCTTTTTTATTTTAGTAGCTTCCAGTTTTCTTTTAAGAGACAGTAACTGTTCCTTCCTTGAAATCCACTACAAATAAGGATAACTGACACATTGTCTAAAACCTCTGGAGTAAAAACTGGATGTCAATTATAACTTTTACCACAATGGCCTTGAGACTTGGACTTCATTTTCTACCCTCTGAGAGAGTCGGGACAATTTCATTTAATCTGTTTGTGCAAGATAAGATTTGAAGGATGGCAGGCCCTAGACATGTGACTTCAGTGGTACAGACACCTTGAAATGGTTGGCAAAGCCTTATTCCACTAATCATGTATCACTGATGGAGGATTTGAAAACCCCTAAAATAATATTGTACTGCCAGATTGTGGTACAAAGTAAGAATAAGAGAAAAAGAGTTGGGCACAGTGGCTCACACCTGTAGTCTCAGCACTTTGGGAGGCTGAGGTGGGCAGATCACCTGAGGTCAGGAGTTCGAGACCAGCCTCAACCTGGCCAACATGACGAAACCCTATCTCTACTAAAAATACAAAAATTAGCCAGGCGTGGTGGCGGGCCCCTGTAGTCCCAGCTACTGGGGAGGCTGAGGCAGGAGAATCGCTTGAACCTGAGAGGCAGAGGTTGCAGTGAGCCGAGATTGTGCCACTGCACTCCAGCCTGGGCAACAGAGTGAGACTCTGTCTCAAAAAAAAAAAAAAAAGAAGAAAGAAAGAGTGAGAGGAGAGAGGGAAGAAGGGAGAATTAATATGAGTATAAATAACTGACATCTTTAAATAGCTTTGAGCTCTGGGATTGAATGCACTAAAATAAAAAGAGCTGTCCAGATTTATTAATTGACAATTTATGCATACCAGGCCAAAATACTTACTCATATACCACTGGTTTTATGGTTGTAAATTCCAGTTTTCAGGCCAAAGGTAGTTAAAGTGGTAGACACTGGTGAAAGAAATGTAATACATTTGACAAGAGCTACGTTTTTAATTCCATGCAATTTGTACTCAACTGTTTTGCTATTTTTGTTTATAGTACTTCTGGGTTTTTTTTTTTGTCTTGTGTAAATAGTGATGAATTAGAGATAATATACAACATTTAACTGAACTATGACCAATATTTAGTTATGTAGCTCTAGGGACAGAAGATTTGTAGCTATTATATGAATCTACAAAAATTACAGTTTTAATTGTTTCATGGTAATCGTTATTGTGCAATCTTAGCTTCATTTATTGCCAACATTCCCTTAGTTGCATATGCAGCTTTGTTTTCAGTGCATCTTACATTCAAGAGGATTTGCATATTCATCATTTGTAAACTCCCATTATGAGAAACCAGATTGTGGATGCATTCATAAATCATTTCCATAACCAATTGCTTCAGTTTTATCACAAATAAAAGTGAACATGATGTATATTGAGTCTACAATGTTTTAAAATTTTTCATCAGGTTGTTCTTAGGCCATTTATTCATTTATCAAACAAGTATACATTGAGCACCTATTATGCCAATAAGTTTTTTAGATAGTCGTGTGATAGCGGTGAAAAAGCAAATAGTAATCATTGCGTTCACCAAGCTTACAATTTAGTCAGGGAGAAAAATGGCACTAAGCAAATAAATAAAAAATATAGTTTATGTCAAGTGGTGATATTTGCTATGGAGAACAGTAAAGCAAAAAACTGTGATAAGAAGTTCTAGAAATGAGGATGAGATGGTGATGTTTAAATAGTCAGTATGGTCACATTAAAACATATCACCTGAGAAAAATAGCCAAACAGTAGAGGAAATAAGCCATGTGAATATTAGATATGTTGACAAAAAGAGTCAAGCTCTGTAAAATATTAAAAGAGATTTATTCTGAGCCAAACATGAGTGATCGATGGCTCATGACACAGTCCTCAGGAGATCCTGAGAACAGGTGCCCAAGGTGGTTGGGCTACAAGTTGGTTTTACACAATTTGGGGAGACATAAAATATCAATCAATGAATGCAAGATGTACATTGGTTGAGTTTAGAAAGGCAGAACAACTGGAAGAGGGGGCTTCCAGGTCATAGGTGGATTCATAGATTTTCTGGTTGACCATTGGTTGAGTTATTATCTGAAGACCTGGAATCAATAGAAAGTAATGTGTAAGTTACAATAAGAGCTCGTAGAGACCAAGGTTTTATCATGTAGATGAAGCCTCCAGATAGCAAGCTTCAGAGAAAATAGACTGTAGATGTTTCTTATCATACTTAGTTTGTTCTACCAGTAATTGCAAAAGGGAGGAGGGTATAATGAGGCATGTCTGGCTTCACTTTCCCATCATGGCCTGAACTAGTTTTACAGGTTAACTTCGGAATGTCTGTAGATGAGAGGAGGAGTCCATTCAGATGGTTGGGGCTTAGGATTTAATTTTTTTATTTATATATCCAGCTATAAATGCAGAGGCCTTGAGGAAAGAGGCCTTGGTTTATATGAGGAAGGTCATAGTAAGGCATTGATGTTTACTTCATATAGGATGAAAACCCATGGAAGGGCTTTAAGCAGAGGAGACATGATCTGACCCTCAAGATTATAGTGGAGCAGGGACAAGGACAGAAAGACAAATTAAGAAGTTACTAAGATGATCAGGAAAGAGATGATGTTTCCTGAGCCAGAGTTGGTAGTAGTAGTGGAGGTCATAAGATGTAGTTGGATTCTGGATGTGTTTTATTGATAATGCAGAAATTTGCTGATGGATTGCATGTTTGGTGAGAGAGAGAGAAAGAGATGAGTCATGGAAGACCCCAAATTTCTCGCCTTAACTAGAAGGATGGAGTTTCATTAACTGGGATAAGAAAGGCTGTGGGAAGAGAAAGTTTATGTTGAGAAAAATCAGAGGTTTATTGAGGTAGTAACCGCCCAAGGGGTTCACCTTGCCAGCTGCCTGGGCAGAGCCAATTCATCAAGATGGGAATTGCAATAGAGAAAGAGTAATTCACGCAGAGCCGGCTATGTGGGAGACTGGAGTTATATTATCATGCAAATCAGTCTCGCTGAGCATTCAGGGATCAGAGTTTTTAAGGATAACTTGGTGGGTTGGGGGAAGCCAGTGAGCCAGGAGTGCTGACTGGTCAGAGATGAAATCACAGGAAGTCGGAGCTGTCTTCTTGTGCTCAGTCGGTTCCTGGGTTGAGGCCACAAGATCAGATGAGCCAATTTATTGACCTGGATGGTGCCAGTTGATCCATCAAGTGCCGGTTCTGTGAAATATGTCAAGCACTGATCTTAGAAGCAGTTTAGGGAGGGTCAGAATCTTGTAGCCTCCAGCTGCATGACTCCTAAACTATAATTTCTATTCTTGTGACTAATGTTAGTCCTACAAAGGCAGTCTAGTCCCCAGACAAGAAAGAGGTCTGCTTTGGGAAAGGGCTGTTACCATCCTTGTTTAAACTATAAACTAAGTTCCTCCCAAAGTTAGTCCAGTCTCCACCCAGGAATGAGCAAGGACAGCTTGGAAGTTAGAAGCAAGATGGAGTCGATTAAATTAGATCTCTTTCACTGTCTCAGTCATACTTTTGCAAAGGCGGTTTCAAGATTTAGACCTATTTCTGTGACCCGAGGGAAGAGGCTTAAGTCAGTAGCAGGATACTGCTGGAGTGTAGAGTTGGAGTCCACAAAAATTTTGGGCCTGAGGTATAATTTTATGAGTCACCAGCATTTAGGAAAGGGTTTAATAGCATGTGACTAGCTGATATTAACAAGGTTGTGGGTGTGTAGAGAGGAGAAGAGATGGAGGGACTGAGCTTCCAGGCAGTCTCATGTTGAGCAGATGAGGGAAAACCACAAGAGAGACTGAGAAAAAAAATAGGTGGTAACACAATCAGAAAACCAGAAAAGAGTTTTATGCAAAAGCCTGGTGAAGAAAATATTTCAAGAAAAAGGGAGGGATCAGCTCTGTCCAATATTACTGATATGTCAAATATGTTGATGAAAAAAATTAAATATGAGATTTAGCAATATAGAGGTCAATCTTGATATATGCAGTTTCAGGGGAGTGGTAAAGGTGACGAAAAAACAAACAAACAAATAAGGAATAATATACTGATCCATGCTACAACATGGATGAACCTCAAAAACATTTTGCTGAGTGAAAGGAACCAAGCACAAAGGCTACAGCCTGCATGATTCCATTTATGTGAAATAGCAGAGTCGGCAAATCCATAGAGATAGAAAGCAGATGTAGTGGCTGCCAGGGTAGGGGGAGAAGAGAGAATGGTGAAGTGACTGATGGGTACAGGTGATGAAAATGTCTTGGAATTAGGTAGTTTGATGATTGCACAACATTTCAAATTTAATAAAAGCCACTGACTTGTACACTTTTTTGTTGTTGTTGTTGAAGCAGAGTTTCGCTCTTGTTGCCCAAGCTGGAGTGCAGTGGCACGATCTCAGTTCACTGCAACCCTGCCTCCCGGGTTCAACTGATTCTCCTGTCTCAGCCTCCTGAGTAGCTGGGACTACAGGCATGCAACACCACACCTGGCTAATTTTTGTATTTTTAGTAGATACGGAGTTTCGCCATGTTGGCCAGGCTGATCTTGAACTCCTGACCTCAGGTGATCTACCTGCCTCAGCCTCCCAAAATGCTGGGATTACAGGCGTGAGCCACTGTGCCCGGCCTTTTTTTTTTTTTTTTTTGAGTTGGACTCTCACTCTGTTGCCCAGGCTAAAGTGCAGTGGTGCGATCTCGGCTCACTGCAACCTCCGCCTCCTGGGTTCAAGCAATTCTCCTGCCTCAGATTTCCTGGCTGGGATTACAGGCGTGTGCCACCATGCCTTGCTAATTTTTGTATTTTTAGTAGAGATGGGGTTTCACCATGTTGGCCAGGCTGGTCTCGAACTCCTGAACTCAAGTGATCCACCTGCTTCGGCCTCCCAAGTGCTGGGATTACAGTTGTGAGCCACTGTGCCCAGCCTACTTGTACACTTTAAAATAGATAAAATGGAAATGGTTAATGATATGTTTTGTGAAGTTTATCTCAATTAAAAAAACTGTTATTGACATAGGTTCAAGAGAGAATAGGAGGGGAAAGAACTGGTGTTTGAGTCAGTGTGAGAATAGGCAGAACTTTGAGAAGTTAGTTGGAGAAGGTTGTCGGATCAGGAGAATGTTTTTCTAAGATGGATGAAGTTTTGGCCATTTAGGTCCTGAAGGAAATGATCTTGTAGAGAAAGAGAACACATCGTTGTAAATGAGAGGAGAGGAAATTGGCAGTATGATTCCTTAAATAGCCGAGCAGAGATGAAATTTCTGTCTAAATGGAAGACGTCATCCAGAGAAGGGCATGGAGAGTTGACCCGCTCCTACAGGGGGCAAAGCATGTGGACAGCTGGCCAGTGAGATTGATGATGGGACTTGTAAAGTTTTCTTCTGATTTCTCTCATTTTCCCAATGAAATGTGAAGCAAGGTGGTGAGCTGAGAATGACAATAGGGAAGGAAGAGCTGGAAGTTAAAAGAGGGAATAGAAAGCTTTGAATAGTTGTCTAGGAAAGCGGAAAAGGAAAGAATGAGGGTCACCCTGATGCCAATGGAGTGAGTAGTCATGAATACGAAGTCATTTCAGTCTGCATGATTGTGAACAAAGTGAAATCTGCATGATTTCTTCACTCATTCAGCTGCACAGATACAGGCTAGAGTAAGTGAAGGGATGTATTTTCTAGAGTTTTTGCCATGAGAGTATGGAGAAGTATGAGCATGGCCAGGGAGTGATTGCTTGTCTGACATCTCTAATAAAGGAAATGAAGACAAGATAGGTGAGGGAAATAACTGAAAATAATTTAGGATCCTGGGCTTGTAGAACCTGGCGCAGCTGAAATATTGTTAGAGTAGAGATATGAAAAGAAGTGAGCTGGACAGATAGGGCTGATGGTTGGGGAGTGGACCACTTGAAATGAAGACAAGGAAACGTTATCATCATTAGTAATGGTAATACTCCTTTTGAAGAGTGGTGGCAAAGGTTGTTTTTCATCAAAGTTCTCCTTCAAAGTCATCAATAAGAAGAGATCAAGAAACTGAGAAGCAAATAAAAGTGAATATTTACATGACAGAGAATGACAGTGAGCTCAGAGCTAGAATGTTCAGGTGTTGAGGGGCAGGGCATCCTCAGGGCTCACCTACAGTGTCTGTAGGTGATTGTAACAAGCTGGAACAGTGAGGGGTGCCATTTGACATGAGAGTCAAAGCTTGGGTATTTAGGAAGATCAGAGGGAGAATTGTCTGCAAGTGGTATGGGCAGAAAGGACTCCTAGTCTACCTTCAAGTCTTATATTGGGGGGCTTGGGGAAAAGAAAACAAAAACACAGGCACAATTTTTTTTTTGAGATGGAGTCTCACTCTGTCACCCAGGGTGGAGTGAAGTGGCGTGATCTTTGCTCACTGCAACCTCCACCTCCTGAGTTCAAGCAATTCTCCTGCCTCAGCCTCCCTAGTAGCTGGGATTATGGATGCCTGCCACCACGCCCAGATAATTTTTGTATTTTTAATAGAGACGGGGTTTCACCATGTTGGCCAGGCTCATCTTGAACTCCTGACCTCAGGTGATCCACCCTCCTTGGCCTCCCAAAGGCCAGCCCATGCCTGGGATTACAGGTGTGAGCCACCATGGCCGGCCAACAGGCACAATTTGAGAAAGCTCCAGAGAAAGCAGTTCCAGGGAAGATCCACCTTCCAGGTTTAAGGGGCGCCATATCTTGTATTGGACACATGTACAACTGTCCTTCAAATAGTAGACTCTGAGTTCCAACATTAGGGCAATTTTTTTACTCCTATGAAGGATTGGCTTTGGGGCTTGCCTGTCATTATGGAGATATGATTAAAATTCTGAAACATTGGCATAGTTGTTTTGTTCTGTTTTTCTCTGTCTCTATTTGAGTGGTGTGTATGTGTGTGTGTGTGTGTGTGAGAGAGAGAGAGAGAAAGAGATAGGGTTACCTAAAGGGTGATGATACCATAAAGAGAAATTGGTTACAGAGTGCTTTGTAGAATGAATATTAACATTAAAGCAAAATACTTGAGTCTTTCCAGTTGCACCTGCATTTCACTTCTTGCCAATCTTTAAATTTAACAGATGGAATTTTACTGTGTCAAGAAGCATTGAATGCTGAGCGGGAGCTATGCCATCCAGATACAGATCTCTGCAGATTTGATGCTACAGATGAAGAGTTGAGATGTAAGTGTTAAATTGAGATATTCACTTTTCTGGTATATATGCAATATGTGAGACTCAGACCACTCACAGGAAAGTGCACGCGCCAACCTTTGTTGACATTAATGTCCTAGTTTTAGCTGGAGTGTTTTTGGGAGGCTGTGGTGGTTTATACTAAATATATCAATTTAAGGCGATGTCATTTTGTGAAACAAACTAAAGCCACTGTGGAATGATATGCAATGTTTCTTCTATAAAATTTCAGTGTGATTATGAATAGTAAATAATTTAAACTAACTAATCTAATCCCATAAAGTAGATAAGGTAAAATATAAAGCCATTTTAAAAATCGTTGACTGGGTATGGTGGCTCATGCCTGTAATCCCAGCACTTTGGGAGGCCGGGATGAGAGGATTGCTTGAGGCCAAGAGCTCAAAATTAGCCTGGGCAATATAGCAAGATGTCATCTCTACCAAAAAAAAAAAAAAAAAAAAAGAATCACCTGAGCATGGTGGCATGCACCTGTGGTCCTAGCTACTTGGGAGGCTGAGGCTGGAAGATTGCTTGAGCCCAGGAGTTTAAGGCTACAGTGGGCTATGATTGCACCACTGCATTTGGCCTGGGTGGCAGAACAAGACCCTGTCTCTTAAAAAAATTAAAACATATTGTGACTGAAGTGGTGACACATACAACAAAAACTAGGAATCTCCTTTTTCTATGGCAATGGGTCACATTTGAGAGGATATTGTACATGTGGATCAACTGAGAAATTTTTGCAAAATGGAGTTGCTGGTACACTCGAAGGCTTATTGAATCCAAACTTGCAGATATAAATTAGTGTGTGCTGATGTGTATGTGTGTATATAAGCTTTTTGGTTGATTACAACACATAACTTGGTTAAGCAGCCACTCTAGCAGACTAATAGTCCACCAAGATCTTTTTCTCCCGTTTAGTGTGTCAGGCCTGTGGGTTTGAATTTGACATGTGTGAGTGGACGTCAGAAGCATCTGCTGGCCAAATTTCCTGGATGCGCACAAAAGCGAGAGAGATCCCTGCATTCGAATCCACACCTCAGCAGGATCAAGGAGGTGATGATGAAGGTAGAAAAAAAAATAATATCTTTTATGTATTACTTTCAGAATTCTGCTTTATGGTGACTAGTTATAAGACATTACATAGGAGGCCTTGGTGAATATACTGAGTATATTTTATTGAAAATACATTCTGCCAAAGGAGCTGAAGGTGAAAATAACAATTATGTTTCCAACAGTGTAAAACAAGAATTATACTAGGTTAACAATATTTTTTAAGTTTTATTATTTCCTTCAGGATTTATTATCGTGTGAACAAAAAGTATTAAAAGGCTTTTTTTTTTTTTTTTTTTTTTTTTTTTGAGACAGAGTCTCAATCTGTCACCCAGGCTGGAATGCAGTGGTGAGATCTCGGCCCACTGCAACCCCCGCCTCCTGGGTTCAAGTGATTCTCCTGTCTCAGCCTCCCAAGCAGCTGGGACTACAGGCACGTGCTACCATGCCTGGCTAATTTTTGAATTTTTAGTGGAGACAGGAATTCACCATGTTGGCCAGGCTGGTATCAAACTCCTGACCTCAAGTGATCCACCCACCTTAGCCTCCTGAAGTGCTGAGATTACAGGTTTGAGCCATCATGCCCGGCCAAGTCGGCCAGCTCTTTCTTTCTCTTTCTTTCTTTCTTTCTTTCTTTCCTTCCTTCCTTCCTTCCTTCCTTCCTTCCTTCTTTCTTTCTTTCTTTCTTTCTTTCTTTCTTTCTTTCTTTCTTTCTTTCTTTCTTTCCTTCCTTCCTTCCTTCCTTCCATCCATGCTTCCTTCCTTCCTTCTTTCTTTCTTTCTTTCTCTCTTTCAACACTGCTCTGTTGTCAATGAGTTTCTTCCTCTTGCTAACATATTAATTTGTATTTTCTGTTTACTTTTATTCTTTTTGCTTTTTTTTCTTTCTTCCTTTTCTTGGAGGGGTGAGTATTGTTACATTTTTATTTTTATTTTTTTCACTGATCTGGAAGCTTTAATTTATATAGCCTATTGTTATGACTATTCTTAATTTTTAGGGTATATTCTTTATATGAAATTTCTTTAACAAAACCTAAAGTGCTCTACTATTTCTGCCTTCTTGAACATGAGAAAGACCAAACTATCATTTAATTATTTTTTGGTCCTGAGTTACAGTTGAACATTTTAAAGAGTTTTAAAGTCAATATCTTGTTATGATACTTGTAATTATTAAGTTTATATATTTCATTATTTTTCTTACTCACCATTGTTTTTTAGATTTTATGCTTTCCTTCTTGGTTCCCTTATCCCCTTGCAAAGGTTGACTCTTTAATCAATTTTTCTTTTATTTAGAAAAGATCTGTGGTGATGAGCTCCCATAGTACCTGTAAACTTAAAATGTTTTAAAATTGTTCTCACTTCGAAATAATAATTTATCTGGTCATACAATTTTAGAATTTTTTTTTTTTAATTTCTAAGTACAGGGTGATTTTCCCTCTTTAGCTCCTGATATGTGCTGTAGTGACAGAGAAGTCTGAGTGCATGTAATGGTTTTTAGTTTAATGCAGATTTTAAAAATGTTTCTTTATCTTTGTTATTTGAAAATTTCAGTATGATGAGTGCAGGAATGAGTATACGTTTAATTTTTAATGCTCAGAATGCACATATATCATCACTTGCAGAAATTATGTTATTCTATTCAAGTAATTCTCTCTTACTCCCTCTAATCTTTTCATCTTGAGTTTCTATTAAACACAACTAATGTTCACACTCCATAACCTGACTCCTCCTTTTTATTTTCTATATAATTTACTCTATTTTGAGTTACATTTCAGGGCTTCTGGTACATGAATTTTCTCTTTGACACTATGGCCAGTCTAGGTTATATTCTGCCTATTGGGCATTTAATTTAAAGTCTTAATTTATTTTTGTTTTAAGTGTATACTTGCTAATATTTTCTTATTTATTTCCTAGTGTATCTTAATATGTTTTTAATAGAATGTATTAGAATTGCATGAAATTTAATTTCTTTTTTCTACAATTTATAAATGTAATTCGTTTTTGCTGTCTTTAGCATTATATTTATATATTTTACTGTGCAGATTATTATTTTTTATTTTTTTTTATTTTTTGGGGGTAGCAGTAATATTATTATTATGGTTATTTATTTTATTTAAGTTCCAGGCTACATGTGCAGGATGTGCAGGTTTGTTACATAAGTAAACATGTGCTGTGGTGGTTGGCTGCACCTGTCAACCCATTACCTAGGTATTAAGACCAGCGTGCATTAGCTATTTATCCCAATGATCTCCCTCCCCTCACCCCTCAACAGTCCCCAGTGTGTGTTGTTCCCCTTCCCTGTGTCTGTGTTCAAGTTGTTCAGCTCCCACATATAAGTGAGAACATGTGGTACTTGGCTTTCTGTTCCAGCATTAGTTTGCTCAGGATAATGGCTTCCAGCTCCATCCATGCTCCTGCAAAGGACATGATCTCATTCCTTTTTATGGATGCATAGTATTCCATGGTGTATATGTACCACATTTCCTTTATCCAGTCTATCATTGATGGGCATTTGGGTTGATTCCATGTCTTTGCTATTGTGAATAGTGTACAGACTATTTTTAAAAAGATTAATAGACTTTACTTTTTAGAATTACTCTTTTCAAACTGCTTTTTGCCTTGCAGGTGCCTTGTAATTTTTTGTTGAAAGTCAGGCATGATTTACTGTGCAAAAGACATTAATGTAAATAGTGTAAGCTTTTACATTACGTTTATGCAGTTAAGGATCATATTATGCTTAGTATTTGCTGTAGCTGTAAATATCTGAGGCTAAAATTTGCTCTCATGTTCTTGTTTTTGTCTTTCTTGTTGTATTTGGGTTTCCTTAGAGACTTCTTTTTAAATAAACATCAGAGACGTGCAGCAGTTTCAGTAGCATGAAGAAGCAATTCAGACTTTATTTTTGAAAATGAAGTTGTAAAATTATAGAAATCTCTTTATAAATCTGTGTTGTCATTGTTATTAAGTTCAAGAACAGCTCAAATTGGTTTTAAATATCAGATGGGGAAAAATTTATTTACAATATATTTATGTAAAACAAAATCCATAGGTGACGTTTAAAAGGACTGTAGATATCTCATACCTCTATGTGGCTTGGTAAGAAAGAAGACATTTTAAGTTGTATTTCCTAAAACTATAAAGGATTTTCTACAAAAAGTAAATCAAAAAATCATCCAGAGGGGCAAGAATTCTGGAAGGATGAAGAGAAATTCTTGATTAAAAAAAGGATTGAATTGTGATATTTAAAAGAAAATGGCAATAATTTGGTGGTATAGCAATTTGTATATGTAGGTTTCTTTTATAGGAATCTTGAATTTTTACAAAAGGGTGTTATCAAATTTTGATTATAGAAATTAGGAGATTTCTCTACATATTGGAAATAATATATAAAAATGAAAACCTGTTATTTGTAGTTGATGTAATCATTTGAAAACGCTCTATCCTTTTAAGTAAAATATTTGTGTTTTAAGTCTAGTTTTGAAAACTTCAGAAATGTAATAGTTTTAGTCAGACAGAAAGAAGCTAATGTTTTCCTAAATTGCTTCTTTTTTCTTTTATCTTTCAGGTTATTATGTATGGGTAGGCGCTAAGCATGGTTTCACTCTTAACCATTTAGACAGCAGGGCTTACCTAAATAGCTCTGTGTGTCATTGCCTGGGCAAGAGCTGTCATCTTCAATTCTATTATGCAATGGAAAGCAGTGTCCTGAGAGTAAGACTGTATAATAATAAGGTAAGAAGAAAGTTGCATTTATTTCAAATTCATTGAATCAATGAAGTTTCTAACTCTTGGCAACTTGTGTTTCGATTTCTCAGTTGCGCATAGGCTTTTATTCTTTAACTTGACTTTACTTGGTATACTTTTAAAAAGAATGATTAAGAAACTAGGATAGGGGACACTCTCATGTACAAAAGTTAATGTGATAACTTGCCCAATATTATTTCATAAAGTTTTCAAAATTCATGGAAGTATATTAAAGAAACTATAGATCTAATAAAAATGGGATAGCTGAGATTCTGTATTATGAGCTCTGTATTGAAGCTCTGATGTGATCTGTTTTGGACATTACATCTGTATATCATTAGAACTATAAATATAATGGTTAAAACTTACTTGTTTGGGTAGCAGTAGACATAATTTTTAAGACTGGTAATTATTGATTAAATATTGAACAATGGCACACTGGGTAGAGTGAGTCCATTCTTCTTCTCTCTCTCCTTGTCCAATATGCTCGATGAGTTCTAAAGTGTAAAGCTGGGTGAGTACTCCAATTAGTATAACAGATAAAAACAAACTGACAGCTGATTCCATAGTATAGGAAAACACCCTGCTTTTTCTACTCTTACGCACTCAGCACTCCCAATATCTCACTTCTGACACCAGATGCATGTTTTTTTTCCAACACAGCAATTCAGTTCTCTAGTGGACACCAACTGAGTGTCCTTTGATTTGCCTCAATTCTGACACTGCTACATGAAGATAGTACAGATTCCACAGGTTGAGGTCTCAGGCCCGCAAGACTACCCCTACTTCAGATGTCAATCACAAGCTTCCTATTGTGCCTCTTACCTACCAGCTATAAATTGGAGTTCCCATGACCCCCTTCTTAGGTTTGATAATTTGCTAGGATGGCTCACAGAATTCAGGAAAACACTTTACTCATGTTACCCATTTAGTATTAAAAATGTAGTTGAACAACCATATGGAAGAGATGAATAGGGCAAAGTATGTGGGAAGAGGGGTGGTGCTTCTCTTCCATGCATTCCCAGGTGTGCACCCTCTAGGAACCAAAATGCGTTCAGCAATCTAGAAGCTCTCTGAAACCTGTACTTCAGGAATTTGTATAGAGGATTTGTCACATAGGTATGATCATTTATTAGCTCAATCTCCAGCCCCTCTCTTCTTCCCCAAAGAGGTGGGGCTGAAAGTTCCAAGCTTCTAATCATAGCTTGATCTTTCTGGTGATGAGTCCCATAAGATTCCATTAACATCCCTATTGATTAGGAAATTAACAGGTTTTTGGGAACTATCTGCCAGAAACTGGAGATGAATAAATATATTCATAATAAATAATATATAATGTATAATTATATGTAATATAATATATAACAAATAATATATTTATTATTTTATGTATCCAGATTTATATGATTCACATAATTACATCTATATGTATGTGAGATGACTATAGATATATATCTCTACACATCCATATAGATATAAATATATAGATAAATATGGATGTCATATATATATCACATATCTGTAGATATGTGGATGTGATATATATATATATCTCTATCTCCCCACACATCCATATACACACATATAGATATATAAAGTAATATACATATGTATATAAATTCTTTTTTAATTGGATGAGATATAATTTTCCTGGCATTCTGGAACTTGTTATGTTTTTGTGTTTCTTGCAATAGTACTTTGTAGTCACTGCCCTGCAATCTATTTAATATATTTCATTCCATTTGGTAACGTGTGGGGGGAGGAAGAAAAGGGGACAACATCTCCCTATCCTTCCTGCAGCATTACAAACTGTCCAGATACGTGGGATCAATTTTACCAAAAAGGAAGAGAGAAAAAATTTAACTGTATCCACGTATGTTCCACCATTCATGCCTCAATATTTCAGTTGCTGTCACCTGTGCTGTTTGAACCAATCCCAGCAAGCCTCCATGCAATCTACAACATTCTATAATTTCCAACTCCTTCTTCAATAAAGGCATAGTAGAGAAATTCTAGAATAATTTCGATGAGTTTAAATTACAGTTCAAATGGTTAAATTATATATGTGGACCTATGGTAATGCTTTTCAGATGACAGATAATTAATTATTTCATGAAAATTGAATGAATTTTTAGCCTAAATTTAAGTGGAAATTTGTATTATAATATGGTCTAATCCTGAGGATTATTTTAATCTGCTCTGAAAATGAGTGATGTATTTTAAAAGTTTCAATACATGTAGAATGGAATTGTGTATTTAATTATGAATGTATGTATTGTGTATGTAATTATGAATGTGTATATGTATTTTGTAATTATGAATGTATGTATTTAGTATGTATGTAATTATGAATGTATATAGATTGGAATTACTGAAAATGAGCCATGCCATTCTTCTGGTGGCTTTAGAACCATACAAGAAAAGAGTGAAAACAAATTGGCTTCAAGTGTTACATCATATAAAAATGACGTTAGATACCACACATCATTAACTCTATTAATCAGTAATACAGTTATCAAGATTCTGTCTCTCATATTATAAGAAAAGAAGTTAATCATAGGGAAATGATCTAGTGTATTAACCAGAACCAAATGGATGTACATCTTAGAGATTGTTGACTGATGTTTGATTTGTTAGTATCCTGTGAGGTGTCCTGTCTTTTCTGACACTATTTGCTATCCTCTATACATATGTTGCTCGCTGATGCAAAATCTGCATCAAAGTACATTTAAGTCCCAAGTCAATGTTTTATCACACACTTAAAAGGACTCCAAACCTATCATTTAAAAAAGTGGCTCTTGATGAAAATGATGATTTACATCTTTCCATGAATAGAATGCTGTTTTGTGTTGTGAATATCTATTACTCTATAAATGTGAGGAGATAAGCCAAGAAATATCTAGCAAGAATGCTGAAGGTTGTTTTCTTTATTTCCAGAGGACATTAGAACTTGAGAAGTGAAAAACTCAGGTGAAGGCAAGTTGTTAAATAAAAAGTTCACTCTTTAGAATCAGCTCAAGTGTGTAGCAATTATAGTTTGTACCATCTAACCATTATTGGGTTAGATCTGCGTCCATGATCTATAAAATAATACTCATAGCAACAGCCTACTTTTGTTCTGTGTAGGGTTTCCATGTAATTATTTACCAATAAATTTACATGTAATTTTTCTTTACAACCAAATTTACTTGTAATTCTTTACCAAATTACATGGTCTTATTCCTAGATGCGATCAAAAGTAGTGAAACTCAACAACATTGACTTTGGTACCCTTGATTTCTTCACTGGAAGAGAAAAGCATAGACTGGCATCTCTAAGAGATAGAGTGTTAATAAATATGTTAAATATTTTTCTTGAAAGGTAAATCGGCATTATTGATCCTGGACCGGTGGAGCAAAGATATATTTTTTAAAAAATTATTTACTGATTTTAAGATAAAAGTAGAACATCACTTGAAAAGCTTTGCTGAGTTGGAGATTTCTTTTTTACATTAACACCTGTGAAAAGTAACTAGAAAGTGGAAGAGTAAGAACAGAAATAAAATGAAACCTGATTTCACTTAGAATAAATTCTTTTTACAAAACATTGCTAGTGCCATCAGACTGGAAAATGTATAGAAAAATCTAGATCTCATTCACTGTGTACTATGAACTTGGCTTATGAAAAACCATTTAAGTTTGGAAAGAACACTGCTCACTTTTCAAAAATGTAAGTGCACCCATCTTCAGGGGGAGCAGAGGGGAATCAGTCACTGTGAAATAAGAGCACAATAGCTCTAAATTATTTTCATAAAATGAAAACGGGGAAAGTGGTGAATGCAATTTGCCAAGAGGTGTCACTAAAAGCATCTGTGTAGGGTGATGCTAAATAACTGAAGTTGTGTAAGAAATAAGCAGAAGAAAAATTAGTTGCTTGTCTCAACTTTTTATAACTCCAGTTCATCCTGATCCGCCATGAAAGCTATCAGCCGAAAATATGTCCACCCCGTGTGCTTCACTGTCTTGTGGAAATCTTCACAGTTGATATGAATAAGTAATGAAGTAAATTGTAATGGATTTAGACTATCTTCTGAAATATTTAGGTCTTCGAAATTTGGAGTAAGCATTTGAGGGTGCAGGACTAAGTTGAAAGTAGATTCATTTTTAGAAAATCTTGGGCATGCATAAATTATGTGAGGCTGAGTGAGGACACAAATATTGATATCAAGTATCATTTGGATTAAAACAAGATGTTGCCTTTCAGGGCCGTTTTCTATCTCATGCTAGAAAGTGGGACAGAGCCAGGCTCAGAGCTCAACCTGAGACATAATTATGTCAATCTTCACATTTTTACCATATTGTTACCTAAAAATTCATGCATTCTATATGTAAACATTATGAACAATTTGTTCTATTTTTGGGAAGAAATGTGAATTTGAATGTCTAATAAAATGTAAATAAAAATAAGATTTCAGAGCATAAAAGCATCAACATAAATCATAAAGACCAATGCCATACATGCCGTAGACAAAATTTTGAGTACCTTATAGACTTTTTTATTTTATTTAGTTTTTTTGAGACGAATTCATGCTCTGTCGCCCAGGCTGGAATGTAGTACTGGTGGCATCTTGGCTCACTGCAACCTGCGCCTCCCAGGTTCAAGTTATTCTCCTGCCTCAGCCTCCTGAGTAGCTGGGATTACAGGCACCCACCACCACGCCTGGCTAATTTTTGTATTTTTAGTAGAGATGGAGTTTCACCATAGACTTTTATTGAGTTTCTTACATTCAATACATGTTTTGAATGCAGTAAAGGCTTGTTACTACACTCATAGCATGTAGTAACAATTTTACATAGATTTTGCAATCTGAAAAATGATCATTGTACAGGTACATAACATAGATTTCTCTAAAAGATGTAAATAGGCCTTTGATAGAATGACCAAATTAAGAATATAATTTTCAGAATGTATCTGTATTGTTTGGAATTTGGACCAAATGTTTCCACAGGAAAAAATATTTAGTATAAATTGAAATTGTGCAGAAAATGCATCTGACAACATTTTTAACCTTTATATTGTTTGCCTGTAAACGTTTTCTTTTCTAGTATCATGGCAGTATTACAAAATGTAATAATGTTATTGAGTTCAACATTTTAATTGCTGATCTTATTAACTGTTATTTAGAATTTTATTTTTGAAACGCAGTACTGTTTTTTTAAAAGATTTCATCCAAATTTTTGTTCCATCCTAATACTGTTTATCTGCAAAAAGCAGCTTTACTACATAAACATGCTTCATTTTCTTATTTTTTAATGATATTCAGCTTTTTCAATTTTACTACCAAGACTTTAGATTTCCTAGTACTTTATATCATACAGGTAAGGTAATACCTACTACAGTGTAATTAAAAGAGCATGTATGTAAATGTGAAGATTAGAATACGGGTAATGAGTGATGTCTTTCTCTTCAAATCAAAGGAAGAAGAAATATTTTGGACATACAACATATCAACTCACAGCCAATGGGTGAAAGCAGATGTGTTAATACCAGAAGATCTGAAGACATTTAAGGTATGAAAGAAAAAAAAAAAGTATTTTTTTATCATGGTTTAAGTTTTAGCTTTGCAGTAATAAATTGACCATGCACTGCTAAAGTTAAATTAGCAGTTAAGTTAGGGATGCGTGCTTGTATATTTGGGGAGAGTGATTGCTTACTTTTTAAATTGTACCTTTTCCTTCTGAGACCAAATTTCCCATGGCGGGGGAAATTGAGTGTCTCCACTCTCGTTCACAGCTTCCTCACTCTCCGCAGCCTTCCTTTCTTGCTCCCCAGCACCATGCTGTGCCCCAGGGAAACAAATTGCATTATGAAGTAGGTAAATAGTAAACTGGTATTGAAACTTAGTAGAGTATAGGCAAATGTTTTGAATGCAATAATTCATATCTTTATAACACATGGAAAGCTCTATGTACACCAAGAAACATATGAAACATACATAGGCTCAATAGGAATGCTGTCTCTTAAAAAATTAAATTGATATTTTGTGTTGTATTAGGTTGGTGCAAATGTAATTGCAGCTTTTGCCATTGTGGCTTTTGCCATTGCTTTTAATGGCCAAAACCTCAATTATTTTTGCACCAACATGATATATGGAATGTGTAAGTTTATTTATGCTGGAGTGTGAGTATAAAATGATGATACTGATTATATGTGTGGGTTATGAAGGCAACTTCATTTCTTTATAGTGATATTCCATTTATACATCCTATCACAGCCTATTGAGTTAACATTTTGACACTATTTAATTTTCATAGGCTGATATCTGTTTTTATAACTTCTCAGGTACTAAACAAGTTTCTTTTTTTATAAACTGAAGATTAAATTTTGTTTTAACTCAAAGATAAAACAAAGTAAAATGTAAAGAAAATGAATTTGAGAGTTATTCCAGGTTCTCAAGTGGATATGTAATGTAATTAGCTGTTCAATAATTATAGGCCTTTGAGATCTAAGTTTAAAACCATCAATTTTTGAACCTCAAATTGATATCATTTCTGCATTTCTGATCTCTTGCTGCTATGAAAATATACAGCTATACATTAATAATTTTTACATGTATGATATTCATTATGGGAAAAGTATGTAGCAGCATACAAAGTTTTCTTATTGTTGGATATGATTTAAATTTAATATTATTTTCTAAACCAAATTATTAGACATATTTGCAAACTGAAAATCTGACCTTAAGTAATTATTAATGAACAAACAAATATATATCCCTCGTATTTTGTTTGTTTGAAATGGAGTCTTGCTCTGTCACCCAGGCTGGAGTGCAGTGATGGGATTTTGTCTCACTGCAGCTTCCACCTCCTGGGCTCAAGCAATTCTCTTGCGTTAGCCTCCCAAGCAGCTGGGACTACAGGCATGTGCCACCATGCCCAGCTAATTTTTTGTATTTTTAGTAGAGATGGGTTTTATCATATTGGCCAGGCTGGTCTCGAACTCCTGACCTCAAGTGATCCACCTCCTTGGCCTCACAAAGTGCTGGGATTACAGGTGTGGGTCACTGCACCTGACCTATCCCTCATGTTTTGAAAAGAAAATCTATTCAGAAACTTTAAGCTGGATGAAACTGAAGGAAGTCAATTTTAATTCTTAGTATCTGGCTGGAATTTTAACCACATTTAGTGCTGTTTAATAGAACTTTCTGCCTAATGGAAATGCTTTATATCTGATGTCCAGTATGGTAGCCACTGATCACATGAGGCTATTGAACAATTGAAATTTGGCTACTATGACTGAGGGAACTAAATTTTATTTTATTTTCATTAATTTGAATTGAAATAGTCCTCTGTAGCTCATGGCTAATGTTTTGGACAGCAAATAATTGGTTATCTGTGATACAGTCAGCTATTTATACTTCTGCACTTTTGGTGTTAAGTAATAATTGCTCTTGGTAGAAACTCAAGGAATGCTAATACTTTGACATTATCTTACACTTGACCAGCAATGTGTGGTTATTTCATTTGCTAATATTGCTTATCTCCAGAAAAGCTAGCAATTCAATTGGTGACAACAAAATTTATTTACTTTAATTGACACTTCTTTTCTCATTAAAGAAATTACTCTTTTATGTAAGTTGAATAGAGTTTTATGTTTATTCCCTTACATTTTTTTATTCCTATATTGTGTCTGTTTCTGTTTGCCTGATATTTTTCTTCATGTATTCAAATACTAATTTCACTAGTTAAAAAATAAGTCAGATGCAGTTACAGCTCTTGTTCTATAAGTAATGACAACACTTCTTATTTTCCTTGAAAATGAAAGAAAGAGAGCTGTAAAGATGATGACCAAGTAACAAGTTTGCAGTCAGGGACATTTTTTATAGTTAGGTGGGATGCTTGTTTTTTGCCTGATCCTGGGAGGTTTCTCTGAGCCTTTAGTGGAGCAAATGTTTCCATCAGTTTTTTTTTTTTTTAATACTTTAAGTTTTAGGGAACATGTGCACAACCTGCAGGTTTGTTATGTCAGTCGTATGAGCATGGGTTGAGGTTATCAAACAGGAACTTTGTTATATATTGCCTTGGTTGCTTTAAACACTTTTTCTCAATAACTACTTTGTCTTTATCAACCTTCTTTAGTTTTTTGTCTTATTAAGGAGATTGCAAACTCATAAATTAATCTTTTCCTTCCTAAAGATTATTTTTGAAGGGACTCTTTTGAGCCAGAGAAGTTTTATTGCCCTTGATCACCTCTGGGTCTATGCCTGTGGACAGACCCAATCCAGAAAGCTTTGCTCTGCAGACGAATTCCCTTGCACTAGTGGCCAGTGCATCGCCAAAGAATCTGTCTGTGACTCTCGGCAGGACTGCTCCGATGAGAGTGATGAAGACCCAGCAACTTGCTGTAAGTGAGTGAATGGCTTACTAGTTTACATGCTCTAATTCAAGACTGTTAGTTGGATTTAAAACAGTCTTTGTTTCTATCAAGGCAAAGGTAAGTCATATGTATGAAATGTGATAAATATGCATTATCGCTCTGAAACTATTAGTACTATGCCTTCAGGGATCTCTATTTTAACTTAATGTTTTGGTGCTTGTTGCAAAGTCTGCAACATCTCTCAATTTATTCTACAAATGAATAGTTGTGATTATTGTTGGCTGGGTGTGCGAATGTGTGTGCTTTGATTAAAGAGAAGATGGGTGGTAGAAGGAAACTTTTTGTACCTTTGCCTTGGAGGCATATAGTATGGGTTGCTAACTTTTATTGTGTATGCTTTTTTCCTCTCTAGTCAATCATCTTGGAAGCTGTAGCTGGGAGGGATGAGTAGGAGGAGGGTGGCCCTTCCTCCAGGGCAGCTACCATGATTGTAGAAATCACTTCAGCCATCATGGCTGCCCTGGAGGAAGGGCCGCTCTCCTCTTACTTGCCTAGAAAACACTTCAGCCAGCCGGGTGCAATGGCTCACACCTGTAATCCCAGCACTTTGGGAGGCTGAGGCAGGCAGATCACAAGGTCAGGAGTTCAAGACCAGCCTGGCCAACATAGTGAAACCCCCGTCTCTACTAAAAATACAAAAAATTAGCCAGGCGTGGTGGTGGGCACCTGTAATCACAGCTACTTGGGAGGCTGAGGTAGGAGAACTGCCTGAACATGGGAGGTGGAGGTTGCCGTGAGCTGAGATCATGCCATTGCACTCTCCAGCCCAGGCGACAGCGTGAGACTCCGTCTGAAAAAAAAAAAAAAAAAAAAAAAAGAAATCACTTCAGCCATGACTGGCGTTTGGGAGGGCCAAAGTGCCCCAACACCTTTCTTTCAGGCCTTTTCTGAAGAGTCTTTGATAGAAGTGATGACAAGAGATCCCATTACTATTCAAGCATAGTCATAGTTCAACAAAAATATAATTTAATTTACAATCCACAGGATGATTCTCATATGAGGTAACTTAGCAACTGAGATCCCTGTGTCTCTTTAGAAAACATGAATTCCAAGGATATGAATCCAATTTCTGTATCACAAACAGGTGGTTTTTAAAAGATATTAAAAATTTGACGTTTATTTTACTGCAGTGTCTTATTTTAGTGAGATATTTTGTTGAGCAGAGGTGAAAATATTATAATAAGATAAATGCCACCTTTTAAGTGAAAAGCTCTGTATAATTGGTTTCTCTTGGGAAGCTTGGATTTTATTAAGAGCAACGCGGAGGGACACAGGAGAGAGGAGATGAGAAAGTAAGGCTAAAATCCCCTTCTGCCATGTTCATCAACAGCAATCCAGTTAATACTTCAGCTTTAAACCAAGTAATCGGCTAACCAGTGTGAGCTCAACGGAGCTTTTGGGCTGCTCTCTTCTTTTGTTCAAAACAAACGATGTAAGAGCAATTTATTTACTCCAATGTATGTGAAGTTTCTTTCTATGTTTTATTTAAATTTTTTACAGACAATTTGCTTCATTTCTGTTGGGGAAATATTTCTTTCTAACAGTTTCTATAATTCTTAATGTCAATAACTGAAGGAAAATATATTTCCTTTCTTTCCACGTATTTAATTTTTTTTTTTTTTTGGGGACAGAGTCTTGCTCTGTCACCCAGGCTGGAGTGCAATGGCATGATCTCGGCTCACTACAACCTCCACTTCCCGGGTTCAAGTGATTCTCCTGTCTCGGCCTCCAGAGTAGCTGGGATTACAAGCATGTGCCACCATACCCAGATAATTTTTGTATTTTTAGTAGTGACAGGTTTCATCATGTTGGCCAGGCTGGTCTTGAACTCCTGATCTCAGGTGATCCACCTGCCTCAGCCTCCCAAAGTGCTGGGATTACAGACATGAGCCACTGCACCTGGGCACTTGTATATTTGGAAGCTTAGCTTTTTCCCCTCCATTGTATTCCCCGTAGTAAATCATACTTTATGTTCACCTTTAAAAAATTGTTTAGCATTTGATTTTCGACATATTTTCTCATTTATTGAAGTTTCATTGATTATGTATATGACATTTTTCCAATTCAGTAGATCTTGATGCCATATTCTGCTATTTTCTTTGGGTGAATGCAGGAATGGGTAATTGTGTTTCTCAACAAAAACAGTGTTACTTATTAGTCTTTTAAGTTTTTAAATAGTGTAACCTCATTTGTCCAAAGAAAACCTGTCATGTTTGCATGATTGAGATGGACTTGATATAGGGAATATGTCATAAAAATGTAGCCATATTGCATACAGTATATATGTGTATTCATGTATTTTGATACCAAAATGAGTGTTTCATGTAAATATATATACAATTATGTATGCTGTGAAATTATATAGATTTGGATTATTAGAATTGATATAAATTTACACTATTTGCTGCACTAAAGTATTTAATATATTTGTGCATATAGACACGTGCATATGTATATTCTTACAAAATAAAAGAGGCTTTCCTTTGAAATTTAAAACCATATTGAAACATTTTACACATATGAAAACATTTGTATCTTACAAATTTGAATTTGTAATATCAAGTTTTTTTCATAAACGATTCTTCCATGTTCATGAAGCACAAGAAAAATACCTTTATATCTTTTTTTTCTTGCACTTTAGAATGAATCTCTAGAAGGGTATAGCTTGTGCAGGCAGTTTGAATAGCACCAGGAATACTTACCAAATTCTGGAGAATGAGTAAATATGAACTCGTGAGGATTGTCAGTTGGTATTCCACAGCCAGTGTGCTTTTCCCCAAAGGCAGACTCACTCAGGTCTTCTGTCATTGTCAAGTTGCCCTTACTTTTCGGTATTATTTTAATATATGGCATAACATAGCCTCCAGACCGGTGGCTCTTCAAAATCAGTTAATAAAAACGGCCTGTGGGTTTTGCTGCAGCAGCAGACTCCATGGACCAGAGCATCAGCATTACCTGGGAACTTAGTGGAAATGCAGAACCTCAGGCCCTGGCCCAGCCTTACAGAACCAAAAGCTACATGGAACAAGGTCCCAGGTGACTTGTCTGCATATGAAACTTTGAGAACCACTGTACCAAAGAGGCTTGAGGAAGGAAGACAGCTAGGGGAAGAAACAGATGGCATCTAAAAAAATTGATAAAAACTAAAGGCAAACAAGTCAGAGTTCTCTCAGGGTAGAAGCAAAAACTCTGTTTACTTTGCTAGTCCTTAAGAGCATCAATATTAATAAAATATTTATAATGTGTATTTGTAATGTATATTAACACAATATTTATAATATAATCCTGTTAGAATCTAATATATTCTCATTAAATGAAATATTCCCCATTCATTTCCCATACATAGCTTTCTTTCTTATTTCACAGAGAGCTGATTAACTTCTGGAGGATTCATAAAATATTTTGCTTTTCATGATCCAGAATTTTTCCCAGCTGCACAATGAAATTCTTTCTTGTCTGCTCATATGCTGTAGTGGTTAAATATGCAAGAGAAAGCTTTGTCATGATCTTAAAATATTACTTTAACTGATGAACTGTGAGTAAAATTTCTCTAAAACCAAACAATAGATTTTTGATGTTTATTAACATAATCCTGTATTAAATGAGGGCAGTTAAGATTAAAATATATCTGCACCCTCATGTTCACTGCAGCATTATTCAAAATATCCAGCCAAAACAACTGAAGTCTCTGAGAATGGATCAAACAAGTGGGGTGTGTGTGTGTGTGTATGTGTGTGTGTGTGTGTGTGTGTGTGTGTATAAAATGTATATGTGTTCACAATGGAATATTATTCAGCAATAATGAAGAAAAAAACTTCCTATTTGTGACAATGATGAGCGTGGAGGGGATTATGCAAAGTGAAATAACCCAGACAGAGAAAGATAAATACAGCACGATCTCACTTATACATGGAATCTAAAAAAGTTGAATTTGTAGAAACAGAGAGTAGAATGGCAGTTGTCCAGGGCTGAGGCCTGGCCGAAATGGGGAGGTATTGGTCAAAAGATACAAATTTTCACTTACAAGATGAATAAGTTCTGGGAGTCTAGTGTACAGCCTGGTGACTATAGTTAGTAACACTGTATTGTATACTTGAAATTTGCTGAGAGTAGATCTGAAATGTTCTGATCACACACACAAAAGGTAACTATATGATGAAATGATGCTAATTAGCTTTACTGTAGTAATCCTTTCACTACGTATATGTATATCAAAACATTACATTGCGTACCTTAGTTACAATTTTATTTGTCACTTATACATCAATAAAGCTTAAAAAATTAATACATATATATGCAATATGTTTTAAAAATCTCTATCAAAATAATTAAAATACAACATGCCAAACATGTCCAAAGATACACGTTGGATCCCTGAACAGTTTATACATGAAATAGATCTAATTTTCAGACACACGCTACAACATGGATGAACCTTGAAGACGTTAAGTGAAATAAGCCAGAGACAAAAGGACACATATTGTTTGGTCCCAGTTATATGAAGTACCTAAAGTAGGCAAACTCATAGAGACAGATAGTAAAACGGTGGTTCCCAGGGTTTGAGGGGAGGGGAGATGGAAATTATTGCTTAATGGGGGTGGAGATTCAGTTTGGGAATGAAAAAGTTCTGGAGATGGATGGTGGTAATGGTTGTACGACAATGGGAATGTACCTAATACCATAGAAGCTTACATTAAAAATTGTTAAAATGTTACATTTATGTCATGTATATTTTACCACAATAAAATACACATTTGTATTTATATATACAATTTTCAATAACTCATATAGGAAAAATATATATATATATAGAATCTACTTCACTGTGTTCCAGAAAAGTTGGCATGATAGATACATCTTCAAATCAAAATAGTTCAGGAAATTCCATGAAAAAGGGGTTTTTTAAATTATAGGACTTTAAAAACAATTTTAAATGCTAATATGAATTGTGTACCTTCACAGGGGACGTTGGTATAATAGTCAAATGAAAGAAATTTAAACCAAGGATCTTGTATGATTCATTAATTTTTACTGTGATATTGTCTCTAGATGTCTTTCATGTAAAAAAAAATGTTGGGCCGGGTGCGGTGGCTCACGCCTGTAATCCCAGCATTTTGGGAGGCCGAGGCGGGTGGATCACGAGGTCAGGAGATCCAGACCATCCTTGCTAACACAGTGAAACCCCATCTCTACTAAAAATATAAAAAATTAGCCGGGCGTTGTGGTGGGCGCCTGTAGTCCCAGCTACTCGGGAGGCTGAGGCAGGAGAATGGCGTGAACCCGGGAGGCGGAGCTTGCAGTGAGCCAAGATTGCACCACTGCACTCCAGCCTGGGCGACAGAGCGAGACTCTAACTCAAAAAAAAAAAAAAAAAAAAAAAAAAGTGGAATGCTAAAACACTTCATGAAGGGAAAGGAAATACCAATATAAAAATATTTAGTGTAGCAATGATCTGTGTGGGTTTCCAATACATATTAACAAAATATTTATAATGTAATCCTGTTAAAATCTAATATATTCTCATTAAATGAAATATTCCCCATTCATTTCCCATACATAGCTTTTTGTTTCTTATTTCACAGAGAGCTGATTAACTTCTAGAGGATTCATAAAATATTTTACTTTTCATGATCCAGATTTTTTCTCAGCTGAACAATGAAATTCTTTCTTGTCTGCCCATATGCTGCAGTGGTTAAATATGCAAGAGAAAGCTTTGTCATAATCTTAAAATATTACTTTAACTGATGAACTCTGAGTAAAATTTCTCTAAAACTGTGAACAGCGCCATATCTCATACTGCGCTTAGAGATGGTGAAGCGTATTCTGTAATCACAGAAAGTTAAAATAAAGGCAACTAAGTAATCAAAATCATTGTTTTAATGAAAGTACTTTATTTATAACATGAATAGATTTTTTTAGATTTTGCAAATGTTTACATTTAACACATATAGTATGATAAGACATTTAATAATTGCCAGAATGCATTTGACTCTCCCGGCTTTCTTCAGATATTTATAAGTTCACTTTAAAGTTTTTGAATTACACAGGGGAGATATTAATGGAAGAACTTCAATTTAGTTACCGGAATTTGATTTATATTTTACAGTACAGTGAAGTTCTTGAACTTTTAGCTTTAAAAAATATTCTTTTACGTGTACAGGAACACATTAGTAAAAACAGCCAATCAATTCACCAAGGTTCTTACAGAGGTGGTTGCACCATGTCACCATGTTGCTTTCACACATCTTTATGGTGACGGATTTTGAAAGCTAATTTTCATTTTTCAAAGGATGGTGGTGTTTAGCATTCTGTAAAAAGCACAATGATTGACATTTTTTAACCAATAAAACATCTAGGTAATGAAAGAAATGGTTTGAACTTTTGTCCTAAAGCCAAATTTCAACATTTATACAATCAAAAGTGGCTTTTATCTTGAGAGCTTCTTTCTTTATGTCTTTGCGGTTGAGCGACTAGCTCAATTATGAAGAGTCTGGGTGAGGGTGTGGGATGCATCAGTCATATGGTACTTTCCATTTTCACACTCATCGATCTCATTGCCATTTCACACCATTGCCTTGTTGGGGAAATTAGAATGGTGCCTTCAGCAGATATCTGAATGAAGAACATTGCTGTTTGCATGGACTTGTATAGCAATGCATAATTTGCTGCCCTAACAGTGCAATATTGAGTTTATTACCCAAACAGGGACTGAGAGAGGGAAAAGAAGAGATGAAGTATTAATTATTATACTAGGACAACAGGCATGCATTGAGGCAACCCTGGGCCAGGCAAGACATGTGGTCACTCTACTCATGAAAGATTTTGTATTCCAGGGAAGTGTGTTCTAGGAATTGGAGGTAACCTTGTAGAGAGGTGGAAGGATTCCTTCGTCAAATCCACAGCCAAGAATTTGGAACTTTGAAGCACATTTCAGAGGCCAAATATGTACTTTGAGTCTTAAATATTTCTATACTCCACCAACTGACAGAACATTTTGGAGGTGGCATAGAAGGTGGCAGAGCTCACAGAGAACCGAGGGATTAGACCAGAGGGTTCTGTAAATGCCCAGGGAGAAAGTCACAGCTAGGTTGTAAGTGCTCAAGATTGTGTCAGAAAACAGAAGACACTCTCCCCTGGGGAGTAATGTTTTATCAAGAGCCATATCCTATAAATTATGTAGACACACCTAAGAAAAGAAAAACATAGCCAAGAGCAATAGATTTCCAGCTAGGTATATGGGCAAACTGCACTTCCCTGTCATAGCAGTGCACCATTAGGCGATGTGCAACATGTTTTTATTATTATGCTGTAGTCAACTTTCTTGTTTTTTATTTGTAGGGAAATCCATTTAGAGGGAAAAATAATATTCATTTGTAATGAAAGAAATGCTGTACCAAAATCTATGGATGCTCAAGTCCCTGGAGAACTTGAGCCCTGGGGAAAAGTCAGCTCTTGTATCTGCAGGTTGCACATCCTGCTAATACTATATTTTTGAACCACTATTGGTTGAATCTGCAACAAGGAACCCACAGATATGGAAGACCCACTGTCTATTCTATGACTGTCTAACAAGCACGGCTTTCAGATCTAAAGGTTCAGTTTGCATGTAGAGAAATCGGAAGTGGCATTGTCATTTGCATACCGCACTTCAATGTTTTAAGAGTTGACATGTCAGTGATAAAATATGTGGTCATAAAATCAGGTGTCCCTATTACAGAGACTTGAAGATGCTTTGATTATTAAGATATAGTGAGCTTATTTGATATGCTGGTTAAATTGGCCGTATTAAAATTTACAAGTTGAACACAATGGTCAGAAGCAAACCCATGGTGATGGAGTCTTTTTAATTATGAAACAGAGTTCCTGGTTTAAGGAGGCTTCGGAATATGAGCTTTTGGTGTCAGACAGGTTCAAAGTCTAGATGTTCCATTTACTAAAATGTACCACAAGCAAGTTGCTTCATGTTCTGAGTTCCAATTTTCTCTTTTAGGAAATGGTATTTACTATGTAGAGTGTTAAGAATTAAGGTTAATATATGTAAAATGCCTGCTACATACTTGGAACTCAGTGGTAGTTTGGCTGTTTTTATTGTTATTAAAGATGATAGCATGAAGATCTTAGGAATCCTGTCAAAACTATGGGTGTTTTCTGACAACTTAATTCTCCTTTTCTTCCCCACTGTTTGAAAACTGCCTCAGCATAAAGAGGAATATTTAGGAATAAGCTTTTAAATTAATTGTATTAATTTATTCCCAAAAGTACTAAGATAGTCTGATACTATGATTCTTATTTTAGGAAAACGAAATTTAAGCACATAATAATGAATTTCTCGAAAGCAGAAATCAAGCTCTTAGACTTTCTAGTTGAATGCCCAGTCTTATGAAACCATCTATTTTTCTCTCATAAATTTGGTGTCAAAGCTGTGAAAGGTGCCTATAAAGTATGCTCCAAACCCCGACTTTCTCTAGAACCAGTTCTTTTATGATAAATGGAGGAAATTAAGTGCTTGGCAACTTTTGAGTTATGTATTAAGAGAAGACAGGCTCAGGCTGGGCACAGTGGCTCATGCCTGTAAACCCAGCACTTTGGCAGGCCAAAATGAGCAGATCATTTGAGGTCAGGAGTTCGAGACCAGCCTGGCCAACGTAGTGAAACACTGTCTCTCCTAAAAATAAAAAAAAAATATCCGAGCATCGTTGCATGTGCCTGTAATCCCAGCTATTTGGGAGGCTGAGGCAGGAGAATTGCTTGAACCCAGGAGGTGGAGATTGCATTCAGACATTGAACTGAGACTGCGCCACTGCACTCCAGCCTGGGTGACAGAGCGAGACTCTGCCTTAAAAAAAAAAAAAAAAAGACAAAAGATAACACCAGCTCAGTTCCGAATATCTAATTTACCTGCAATTCCAAAATGGCTAGGTATTTTTTTTTTGAGAAAGTGTTAGGATAGAATAATAAAATGCATACTGAGATGCTGATCTCAAGTTATTTGTGTGTCCAGAATTAATTTAAACTTCCCCCTTCCCAGTGGATTTTTTTCATTTAAACTACCATCTCAGCAGGTTTATACTGGGCAAGCAAATTAGTTACTCCCTGAGAAGCTTTGGAGTTCCACCTTGCATCATTAAATAAAATGGAGATGGCCAACCAGAATGAAATGTACCAGACTTACAGATGGAAGCATGTGGAAGGGTCATGCCTCACACAGCACCTGAGATATTGTGTGTGACTAGATAAAGGAAAGCTATTCCGATCATTAGAGAATATTCACTACCAAGCAGAATAATTTTGCAGGCCTCCTAAGATGATTAGCTAGCGTAGAGCAGTGTTTGCCTGCATGCTCTTCATTTCTCCTCACCTGTTTTCTCTTCTACGTGTAACAGCAAAGCATCTCACCTGTGACTTTGAGTCGGGTTTCTGCGGTTGGGAGCCATTTCTCACAGAAGATTCACACTGGAAGCTGATGAAAGGATTGAATAATGGAGAGCACCACTTTCCTGCAGCTGATCACACAGCAAACATAAATCATGGTAGGACATTTTCCTCTTTAAAAAAAAATAGTTTTCTTTCTTGCATGTTGTGGAATGATGATACTGTGTATTTTCATTTCTATTCTGTAGACTGTATACATGGAACTCTGGTTTGTCTTGCTTTAAAACCTCCTGACCAAGTTAATAATTGGCGGGTAATTGAGTTCCCTGAAAGGAGCATTGTTTTAATCACCAACATGTTTGTTGTTGCACTTTTTATGAGTTGGGTTAAAGGCATAAAGAGGTGGAAAAGTTTTCTGATCATTTTCTCAAGTTGCCCAGAATCAAGTACAGTAGGCTTGCCTTCTTTTTAGAGCAATCCAATTTTTTCAAAACAGGAAGAAAAATAGTCTAATCTTGTTTCTGGGAACTGAGAACAGAGATTTAGCACTATCTGTGAAATAAATTTACAAATACTTGAATGCAATTTAATCAGTCTTCGGGCTTCTTTATAATAAACAGTCTTATTCTTCCACATATATATTTTTAACCATCATTCCAGTGTTTACATATCATCTTAAAATAGAGGAACCATAACTACCTGTGGTTTTCCAATAAGTGTCTGTGAAACTCCAATAAAACAGAAAGGGTTTGTTCTCTTTTTTCTTTTGTTTTGTTCACATTTGTCATCGGATGTCATTCCCCATATACGTTAGCATCGTCTTAACTTTACTTTTTAAATGTATATATTTTAAGTAAAGAGTGTCTCGCCATGTTGCCCAGGTTGATCTCAAACTCCTGGCCTCAAGCAATCCTCTCATCTCAGCCTCCCAAAAGTGCTGGGATTACAAGAGGGAGCCACCACACCTGGCAAACCTTACAATAGCACAATTGTACTTGTACTGTAGATCATCTTTCAACCTCATTGAACATTATCCTATTTGTTTCTTCTTTCAGACTTCCAAAGAATTATACCAAAAATAAGTATTGATCATATTTTTAATTACAGCCATTGGAAATTGGGGTTGGTGGTAGTGGGTGAGAGTGCTAGGGGATGGGGTGGGAAAATTCAACCATCCATCTGTTGGCTACAGCCATAAATCTAGTTAATTGTTTAACAGTGTGGTAAGTTCTTAATTTTTGCTTTTGTGCCATGACTCATTTCTTTAACATTTTGTGGCAGACAAAGTTAAGTTTAAAGTTTAAAATAGAAAGGGGACTATAAATCATTGTAACTATGTATTAACAACACATTTTCTCTAAACTCATATAATATTTTACTTCTTTTTCTCTGTTCAAGCCAATTATTAAATACATAGCATAGACGATACCTGGATGCACAAAGATGGATGCCACGATCCCTGCCTTTGAGGTGGTCTCAGTCTGGTAGCTTAAGTAGATAAGCAAGGAATTGCAATCGGTTATGAAGGATGCTTTAAGAGGGATGGAAGGTGATTCAGATGGATTCGAGATGCCTTGTTGAAGGAGATGACTCCTGAAATGAGCAGTGAAGGGAAATGAAAAGTAGTCAGGAAGCCAGAAGTAAGGAATTACTGAGAGAAGACGGAACCAAAGAGAGGTGGGAGGGATCATGTCCTAATTGGAGGGAAGAATCCCCAAAGAGGGCAGAAAGATGGGAGTAGTTAGGGATGAAAGACGTGTGTGATTGGACAGGGAGAAGAGAACTGATGAAACAGGAGAGGAAGGAAGGGGACTCTAGAGAGTGCTGAGGAATTGGAAATGTGTCTGCAGGATGATGGTGACCCAGGTAGTCATGTTAAAGCATGTGACCAATCAAATTTGCTCTAAAGGGCTGTTGTGTCTGAGATGAGGAGAATGGAGAGGGTGAAAGGCTGGAGTCAAAAAAACATGGATGTGCTGAAGAAATATCAGTGAGAGATGATGAAGGCCTAAGCCAAGGCAGTGATTCTCAAAGGGAAGCTGTGCGGGCAGTGTGTCACGGTGGTCTGATGTGAGCATACCATAACCAGTTAGGGAAGAGCACGGGCTGCCCAGGGTTCCGACACGATGTTGACACTGCACCCATGTCTAAATATTAGGGTGCTTCAGTTTTATTAGATAGAAAATAGAGAAAAGAAAAGTAGCTTCCCTGTGGAGTTGTCATGAGGATTAAATGAAATAACACCTGTGAAGGTTTTTCCATGTAGTAAGATCTCCATAAACATTAATAGATATTTGTTGTCCATTCTAATAAGAAGACTAGGAAAAACACCAGATAAGACAATTAGAAAATATGTTTGTAATTCACCTTTAGTCTTTTGCCATCTTATAATTACTACATAACTATGATTTGCATTAAAAAGATTCTAATAGAGCCCCTGTGTTAGATGTTGAAAGACCCATTCTTTTCCGGTGAGATGAAGAATAGTGAAAGATAACAATATGACTGATAAAACTAGGGGCAGCTGGTCTCACCCAGAGTGTGAGGGACAAAAACGCAGTCTTTCTCATTTTAGAAAGGGCCAATTAAAAAAAAAAAAAAAATATATATATATATATATATATCTGGATCACGGAGTCAACATCTCTTTACCCATGATTGCCATGATCAAACCTTAAAGAGAATCAGTAGTGGTTTTAAATTGCAAGTGAGGAGGAGAATTTAAAAAAATGAAAAAGGACCAGGAAGGGAAAGGAAAGTGAAATGGAAATTTCTGGTAGAGTCAGAGGCAGCCTAATAATTCCGATATCTAAGAAAGTGGAGTTCTAGTTCATTTTGTTCTTAGAGCCTTAAACATATAGATTGCAGCTTTTAAATCTGTCTATCTGTCCATCTATCTATCTATCTATCTATCTATCTATCTATCTATCTATCTATCTAACTAGCTGAGACAGAGTCTCACTTAGTTGCTCAGGCTGGAGTGCAGTGGTGTGATCCATGCTCACTGCAAACTCCACCTCCCAGGTTCAAGCAATTCTCCTGCCTTTTCCTCCCAAGTAGCTGGGACTACAGGTGCACACCACCACGCCCAGCTGGTTTTTTGTTTTTGTATTTTTAGTAGAGCCGGAGGTTTCACCGTGTTGACCAGGCTGGATATGTTGATATTATCTAGTTTTTGTGTGTATGTGTGTAATTAAGCCTCGAATTTCCTTCCTGCCTTTTTTGCTTCGTTTCTACCTTCCTATTCCTACTCTGTTAAATTTCCATCGAAATAGGCAACTCATGTTAATTATGTTCCACTTTTATCTATGTTCATATAGTCACACACAGATATATATATAGTAGATACATACATATTCAAAATTATATGTGTTTCTGTGGTTGTTTGTTTTTTAAGAAATATATTATCTTGTAACTATTGTCCCTATCTTCTTACTAAAGATAGCTTATGGCAGTTGCTCCAAGTCATCAAATACTATCTATTTTTTTCATTTTTTATGATAAAGTATTGGTTAAATGTAAAATTCAACCATTTTAGTGTACAGTTCACTGAGTTCTGACATACATACACAATTGTGTAACCATCACAAAAATGAAGATATAAAACAATTCTATTCCTGCCCAACACATTTTTCTGTGCCATTATGTACTCAATAATTCTCCCACCTCCCACCACTGACATCAATGATCTGATTTCTAGCCCTAGTGTATGCCTGTTCCAGAATGTCTTGAAAATGGAATCATATCATATGTAGCATTTTGATTCTGCCTTCTTTCAATTAGCATAAAGGACTTGAGACTCATCCATGTCGCTGGCTTCAGCCACAATTCCTTCCTTTTTCACTGCTGAATAGTTGGGTCCATTGTGTGGATGAGCCACACTTCATTTATCCACTAACCAGCTGAAGGACACTTAGATTGTTTCCAAATATTGTCAAATATGAGTAAAAACACCATTAAATTTGCATACGTGTTTTTGTCTGGACATAAGTGTTTATTTGGTTTGAGTTCTCTATCCAATGCCTATGTCTGTTTTTGTTTTTGTTTTTGTTTTTTTTGCACTCTGGTTGGTGATAGAACTCTACCATTCCTGACTTTCTGCGACCTTCGGGAAATGTTCCAGCTATTCATTTCAGGTGTTTTTACCCCCAGACTCAGGTAGTTTTCTCCAATCCATGCACACGATCGGTCCTTACATGGCAATTTAGGGGGGACTGTCTGCAGATTTCGGGAGCTTGCTGTCTTTTCAAAGCTCCAGTACCTGAAAGGGGCAGCTGGCACTCTGTCTTATGAATTCTACCCATGTGGGTCTCCCCAAAGCACCGACTCTATCTGTTTCAACTTGAGGAGACTACCACACTCCTGTGTTTCCCCTCTGCACAGGCACCTGGAAACTCTGTCTAGGCAGTAAGCTGTGGGAATTACAGGACTTAACTCATTTGTTTCCCCTCTCTCAGAGATCACTATCCTGTGATCTATCACTATCTTACATTCCCATTGTCCTATATTTGACAGTCCATGCTAAATATGCTTTTTTTCTAATATTTTTCTTTTGCTCGTTTAAGACAGAAGATAAAATCTAGTCTGTGATACTGGATTCATGTTTGTTTATTTAGCTAAATATATTTGATTTGGATATACCATAATGTATCTAGCTGTTCCCCTATCCAGTGACATCAATATCATGACGATGTTTCAAATTTATTCTTGTACACATTTCCTCCTGTAGGATACTTTCGATTTTATGCAATAGATAATAACTAGGAGTGAGACTTCTATATTTTTTAAGCAAGATATGTATTTATATTTTCAATAAACATTTATAGATTCATTTACCCTAAAACTTTAGTACTTCAATTTTTAGTGACAAAATGGGACTACTTTTTCCTATTTTCCTACCAGCAAGAGGCATTATAATTCTCTATAAAAATTTCCAATTAATGGGTGTACAATGATTTCTCATATGTAATATTTATTTGCATTTCACTGAAAAATATTTTTTTCAAGTGTTTCCAATGTCTCAATTTATTTGGGTTCTTTAATTTTACTAAGTAATATTTTACAGCTTTCGGGGTAGAGATTTTGAAAATCTTTTGCTAATATTTTCCTAGGTTTTTGTGTTACTTTTAAAGAACTTCTGATTTTGATTATTGCTGACATATAGAAGTGCATTTTTATAGAAAATATTGACCTTGTATCCAGTGGCCTTGCTAATTTTATTTATCATAGCTAGGAACTTATACATATATATTTTATTTTCTAGGATCACAATTATTTTGTCTGCAAATAATGGCAATTTTATTTCCTTTTTTCTAAATATTAACAGTTCTATCTTCCTTTTGTTGTTTTATGTACTGGACAGAATTTCTAGAATGTGTTGAATAGAACTGGTGGTAGCTGCTAGACTTGTCTTATTTCTCTCTCAGAGGAAAAGCTGTCAATAGTTGAACCTTAAGTGCCATGCTTACTGAAAAATTGTATTCTTTATCAGATAAAAATGTTCCCTTCTATTCAAGAGTGTGCTTTTTAAAAAAATTAAGAAATTGAATGTATGTTAAAAGTTTTCAGTATTTTTCAGCATCTATTATGATATGATTGTCAGATTATCTTTTTTGTCTATAAGGTAAATTGATTTTTTAAATATTAAACCCCTCTTGCACTCCTGAACCAAACCTAACTGGAGTAATTTTATTTATTATTCATTTCTTTATTCTATATGGTAATGCTTGTTTATAACTTTTGCATTTGTGAAAGTTATAGAGACTGGCCTCTAACGTTCCTAAGACACGTAAGGTGTTACTTCTAGGCCAGTGCATTAACAAGGTACCTGTTTTGCAGAAGGTGAGGTCGAGCCAGATGTGAACACTTTAACCCAGGGAGACTATTCACTCTGTCCTTTAATTTTTATATTGTGCTGGTCACATAGCCACTCTGGGGTATGTGGGTGTGTGAGAGTTTTACAATAAACAAATCTGATTACCAGAAGTAAACTCCTTGCCATGACCAGGAATAAAACTGGTAAATTCCACATTTCTCTAACTTGGCTCATTGTTTAGAGCAGGCTGATAGGAAGATAAATCAAGGGACGTGTTCCTAGAAGTCCCTGGGCCTGTGGTCAGAGTTTAGACTCTCTATACCCCTTACCTGCACATATTAATTTTAACACAATATTGTCAACTTTCTAAATATTTGGTTAAAATTATCATAGGATAGCATTTAGCTTCCAAATCAATGGTCAGTAACTTCATATTTTAATTCTATTATCTTTCCATCTAGAAACATGTTATCTCTTTTCATCTAACCAGAGAGTTTGCAGTCTTTCACAAAGTTTATAATGTTCTTCATATAAATCATGTCCCTTTTCTGTTAAATTTATTCCTACATTAAAAAAATTAATTTTGCTATCAGGAGTTGGACATTTCTTGCTGTTTATGTATCTGGAAACTTACTGCTAAGATAAGATAAGTAATTGTGTAATATATCTGTTTCCATTTAGCTTACCAAATTTTCTAAATGATACTATAATTATAAAAAATGGAATACTTTGGCTTTCTATTTTTACAATTATATTATTGGTAAAACATGGGAAATTTACTTCTCTTTTTCTATAATGTCTACTAGATATTTTATTTCCTTGACTTCTACACTCACCAGACCTTTAAGATAATATTAGTCTAAGATTATAAATATTGCCTAATATTATCTCTAATTGATAGTTGTGACAGAAATATGTCATTTCCCATTTTAATTAATATTGTTTTATCATTTGCCATTTAGAATGCTATTTATTTTGAGGTTGTTCACTAGTCTTTATTTAATTATTTCCTTTTATTTTATTAAGATTTGTGACTTGAAATTGTTCACTGGTTTTTCATAGTCTTTTCAACATTTAGATAGGATTCTATGACTTGACACTTTCATTTGTTGTTGTAACTGAATATGGAGACCGAGCTCCTAAATTAAACCAAACCTACATTCTTGGAAGGCTCAGATTAATCAAGACACACTATTTTTGGATAACAATTTCAAATTTATTCGACATCATTTTAATTAGAATATTTGTTCCTATGCTCACAAGTGAGATTGCTCTCTAGAGTTTTAAATTTTGTCCTATTTTCATCCATTTTATTAAAAATTAAAGATATTCTGGCAACCTAATATGAATCAGGGAGCTCTCCATATTTTTCTAAGATCTGAGGTTTCTCAAATAATGTTGCAAATATTTGTTTTTTAAAAATTAAATAGGGAGCCAGGTGCAGTGGCTCATGCCTGAAATCCCAGCACTTTGAAGGGCCAAGGCAGGAGGATTGCTTGAGGCCAGGAGTTTGAGACTCTGCTCCTACAAAAAAATTTAAAAATTTGCTGTATGTGGTAGTGTGCTCCTGTACTCCCAGTGGGAGGCTGAAGTTGGAGGATTGTTTGAACCCAGGAGTTCCAGGCAGCAGTGAGCCATAATCATGCTACTGCACTCTAGCCTAGGTGACAGAGCCAGACCCTGTCTCAGGAAAAAAAAAAAAGAAAAGAAAATTAAATTTAACTCAGATGTGGGACCGTACATATCTCGCTAGATTTTCTTTTCATTACTTTTTCAGTTACTTTTGTTGTCTAAACGATTTATTCAGGCCTTTTGCTTCATTTAGATTTTGGCGTCTTAATGTGTACATGTTCTCACCTTCGTTAACCTCTTGTTTGAAATTTGTATATTCTTTTGAATGACTGGAGGAGTAAGGTCTTTGAATATCGGTTCATTTGTTTTTAGAATTTTGATCATCTTTTTAAAAATATTCATTTGAATTTTACCTAAACCTGAGCATTTTTAGGTGGAAGAATTTTTCAAAATCACCTTTTCCCATTCTTTTCCTTTTTAGGTGAAGCATAGAGAATTTAATGAACTTGCTCGCATGCACTGTTTCCATTACCTGTAGTTTGGAATTTGGGGACAGTAATCTTTATCTTTCCAAGTTGGTTTTGAGATTTAAAAACAATATAAACTGGGTTCTATTTTTCCCACTCAAAGATGACACTGCTGCCTCACATCCTTGGTTGTTTGGTTAAACATGTGATGGAGTCTATAAAATAATACATTCTAATTCTAAATCCTTTCCTTTGTGTGCAGTCGGCATTGACTTGTATCTAGGAAAATCACTCTCTGAATACGGTATTTTCCAATGAAAATAGTTGGTTTTCCAAATTGCCTATCACTGTGACTATCAAAGGGCAGTATCAGACCTTGACATTGTTGGGTATAGCCTTCCTTGTAAGTCTTCAATATTCAGTGAAACTACCCCAGACAGCAGCTCTGAACCTGTGATCTTTTAAGCTGCTGAGAGATGTTATCCCCTGCACATTTGCCATGAGCACATCCGTCGTAGTTAAAATCTAAAAGCGGTGATTTTGTTAATGTTCAGATTAGATCTTTAATTAAGCTTTAATCCCCTCTAGCACAGACAACAATGTCAAACATGTAAGACCCAGGAGAAACTAAAATTCATTCCATAAGCTCATATCCTTCGGTACTTTGTGAAGAAACTAAAAAGTAAAGCTCTTGTGGGTATTTCATAAGGGCCTGTTGAATATCTAATTGTCAGCTTAGAAGCTTCATTTAATTTGATGTCAAACTCTATGACATAAATGAAGCCAACAGAAATGTTTGTTTAGGTGATTTGGATCAAGAGCTTGTTTTAATTGATTAAATGTTATTTTAGGTATTTAATGTTATACCGGTATAAATGCTATTTGTTATCTACAAACCATAATAGTAAACATGTAAAAAATGTACTTTTCTTTAATTGATAGTTTAGCATGTGCAAGGATAAGATTGTGGAGCAAAGAACAGCTAAGTGTGTAAGAGAACTTGCATCCCTATGACTTTCCCTTTGTTTTTTCAGGATCGTTTATTTATTTGGAGGCACAGCGCTCCCCCGGGGTGGCCAAGCTTGGAAGTCCTGTTCTTACAAAATTGCTCACTGCCTCTACCCCATGTCAGGTAATCAACTGTTCTGAATTTCCACTGGCCATTCTGCGGTTGTAAATCGCTGAGCTTGGGTTACTCTGCTAGTAATTGCCCGCCATGTTTTACTAGCACTTTAATGATGAATTAAGAGATTTACATGCGCTATTTCAACACAAAATGCTACGTCCTTCTAGAATACCATTTGTAACACATAACTGGCACCATTCTTTTGAGGGCTATTAAAGCTTTCTGTTGTTTTATATTCTTTTCACACAGTCATTTCAATAATCTAAAGCTGTGGATACGTGTTGCCAAAATTTTTGGCCAACAGTGTACATTGAGAAAAATAAAGTCAGTTAAATAAGTGTTTGTTGAAAGAAAGACAAATGGAAATGATTATATTTACTGAAATTTGAGTTTTTTAAATGAGTCCTCTGGTGCCAGGCAAACACAAACTAAGGAGTGAAATACCCATTTTATTTCAGCAGCATATTAGAGAGGACGGACTAGTTAGACTTGGTTCAAGTCTCTTTTGCCACTTTCTAACTGTGGCTCAGACAAATTGTATATTCCTTTTGAGACGCAGTGTCTACACCAGAAACATACATGATTGTATGCATTAAATGTCAGCATTTACATTGGAAGCATACACGATTATATGGAATAATGTCAAGGATTAAAATGTGATTAAATAAAGCACCTGGCAAAATATTTGGTACATAGTAGGTAAACAATGTTTGTATCAAACATTGGTATATATGTACCAAATATAATGTTAATTCAGTAAACATAATTCCTTTGCTTTCCATAAAAGTAACACCTAAATCAGAGGTCTGTATTCAGCTTGTCTTATTTTCAGTCCTTTTGAGAGCTCCAACATGCCTCTCGGCCCTTAGGATTTCAGCTAATTTTTCGTCTTTACTTATCAGAAAATAATGAAGAGATCAGTAGTGCCACACAGTAAATTCATTGCCTGTAAGTGTAGTGTTAGAGCAGTTTACTCGGGCATTCCTGGTGATAAATGACATATTATTCCGAGGTATAAACCTAATTATACTTTCAGTTTGGTATAAGTCTAAGTGGGAGTGCCCTGAGTTCTTAATAATGGTGTCCATAGATACTTTCTTTTAAAGTCCTAAAGATACTTTCTTTTCCTTTCTTTTGTTTTTTTTTTTCTTCCCATTTCTTTGTGAGAATAAGAATTAAAGCAAATGCCTGGTCTCCATTTCCATTTTATCCAAATGCCTTTTACCCATTCCCACCTCTTTATTTTCATTAAATCCTATAAGATAGACAGAAAAAGAGAAAGATAGATATAGAGCGTTTTTTTTTTTTTTTTTGAGGGGAAACTCCAGAAGCACTTATTCTTTGAAAGTACAAGCTAACTTAGATTTAATTCAAGGTCATACATTAAAGTGATGAGATCACAAATGTTAGATATATAGAAAAAATTGAATGTAAAGGAATATGATGTGTTAATTCTGTCTGCTTTACAGAAATTTGAAGATATTAAGAGTGTATTAGAAATTCCTATGACTCACCTAGAGTCACTGAGAAATCATATGCATGTATATGATTTTAAAAGGTAATCTACCTTTCCCATCATTGTATGCTTCCTGATAGCCATTGATTTGTGGTCACTGGGATTGAGTTTCAGTTTATCATTGTTTCCACTTGAGGACACTTAATTTTTGCTTAAATTGGTAACTTAGTTGGGGTTGGGGTGTTATTTAGGTGGGGTCTCAGTGAAAATGCTGTCATGGACATTTTGGGTGCTTGGTAGTTTATCTCAAAACCAAGGCTTCGATCTCTAAAGGCTATGGATACTGACTTAATGGTTTGCCTTGGTTTTTGAAAAACTGAGACTGTTTCAAGGAGCCACTGCAGACTGCCAGAAGAGATATTTGTTTTTCACGCTTTTCTCTATTTTAGGAGTCTTTGAGTTAGCAGGAAGGATATTTGAGTTACTTTGTAATGCTTTCCAGTTTAGGAAGTAGGAGTAGACTGTAGGAGAATGTTATTGATAGTCTGAGATACACATAGCTAAGGTTCTCAGGATTTTTCTAAGACTATAATATGAATTTTTTTAATAAGTTTGTGGCAATATGTGATATTTTCTTTTTCTTTCTTTCCTTTTTTTTTTTTTTTCCTGAGACAGAATCTCACTCTGTCGCCCAGGCTGGAGTGCAGTGGCGCAATCTGGGCTCACTGCAAGCTCCTGCCTCAGCCTCCTGAGTAGCTGGGACTACAGGTGCCCACACCACTCCCGGCTAATTTTTTTGTATTTTTAGTGGAGTCGGGGTTTCACCATGTTATCCAGGATGGTCTCGATCTCCTGACCTCGTGATTCACCCACCTTGGCCTCCCAAAGTGCTGGGATTACAGGCGTGAGCCACCGCACCCAGTCGATATTTTCTTACATAAAAGTTACAGAATAAGCAAACAGAACGAATTCTTACCTTCTTGGGTAACTGGAAAATCTAGCCAATCCTCCGAATTGGAACGTATTGATAATAGTGCTTTCATGGAACCAATGTTCTTCATTATAAGGTAGTAGAGTCAAGCAGTGAGATAACCAGTGTGGGGTACTTTGATATGATTAAAGCCTTCATTTTCTGAAATTATATGGTTTTTTTTTCCTACATAATCCTAGCAGACTAATACAGTTAAGAAGTTTTTGTTTTTTTGAAAGGACTTTAAAGCAACTTGAGCTTTCTCGTGAGTTGCCATTTCTAACAGCACGATTTTAGGGCCATTTTGCATGGATTACCTTGTACTTTATATGTGGCCAACACATGGCATCAGCATGGACAATTGTTCCTGCAGCTAATCATTGTTCAAGATGCAGACTTTAATTTATGCTTCAAAAGTCCTTTCAGCCACTAGTGGAAAATTGGCATTTTTCTTTGAAATACAAGATAGGACAAACAGAACACGAGGGAGCCCAAAGCTATTCTATCTTACTGCTGTTGAAATGCTGTTACTGTTTACAATTAACTAGGAAATGTAAAGTATGAAGGGGATTAATGTGGGTACTAATATTTTCTGAGTTTTCATATTTGAGTTACTGTGTAAGTAACACAATCTCTTACTTTTAGGACTTCACAATTAAATACAGGAAGATGGATAATATGAAGCTTTTGCTTTCAAAGTTAGTTTGTATGTTCATCTATTGATCTTTCTTTTGTTTTTAATTCTCCAACTTGTTTTGCAATTACATTAATATTCCTTCAGTAAAAGATAATTCATAGATTGTTTTACAAATATGAATGAGAAGGTCAGGACAAAGGTAGTTGAAACCAGAGATAGGTTGGATCCCAAAGTAAAGTTTATGAGGGCCAGCCTACATATTTGAGTCTGCCAATGCAGAGAGGGCCACATGTGGTTCAGATTCAAGGAAGTAAAGAGAAATAAACAAAACTGAAAATAGTTCTTCTGAGACTTCTCCCAAGTGCTTGCTATATTACCAAAGTAAACATTATACCTACGATGCAACACATATATATTGCTTATCTACTGTGTGTTGATCACAGTCCTCGATGCAGGGAATATAATGACAACAACCTAAACACATGCTTGCTCTAACAAAATGTTGTTTAGTGGGGGATACTGACAGCAATTCAGTGTAAAATGCTGCAAGCTACAAGAGGGTGAGTCCAGTATAATAATAACACTCTACAAATCTCTCTCAAAGAGTTTTAAAAGGCCATGTCTTACAATGTCCCCAAAGTAGGACAATGAACTGGAGTCAAAGAACAATTTAGAAAAAAAGTAATTTTGGATCATGTCCTGCAATGGTGCAGTTGTGCTCTATTCCCTGGTCATTGTGTTTAATCCAAAGATCAATGTTAGAATAGCTGATGGATTCTAGAGGAAGCAACAGTCTACAGAGGAAAGGGCGAGCAGGTGCTCTCTCCAATCTGTATATCAAAGCACATAAAGATTAATCATTTAAACCGGAAAAACAGATTCGGTTTTATTGAAGATTCTAACCCTCAGCATAAGCTTGTTCAGGAAAAGAATGCCCAGGAAAAAGCATAACTGACTAGGAGCCATAAAAATCACTATGGTAATGGTGAGGGATGTGTGTGTGTGTCTGTGTGTTTATGTATGTGATGAATGATCCCCTCTTTCAATATATACTTATTCCCAGCTGAATTTTGAGGAGCTATAGATATCTTAGCTTGTTTTTTTTCTTTTCTCCCATTTATTTATTTTGTTTTTTTGGCTATTCTTATCCTTCTGTATCTTCGTATTCTAGATCTTATAAAGGTGCAGCAAGTGTGGCAATAAGCAGACTGAGGAAGGCATAAAGGGTCTGATGTGAAGCAGAGAAGGCAGAGGTGGCTGAGGGTTTGGAGTAAAATCGAGAATGGCCATGAAGATTTGACCAAGGAGCTCTGAGATTGAGAAGGAATTAGAACGAAGTCCACAGGGAAGTTGAGAAAATTGGCAGAAAATTTGAAGAGGAGGGTTTCAACAGGAGATGATCAAAATTAAAAAAAAAAGAAAGAAAGAAAACAGAAAAATAAGGAAGAATTCATTTTGAACTTCTGAATCATGACCTTGGGTGTCCCAGACTGAAGTATCAGAGAGCCCAAGGTCCCAGAGGCACTGTACAGACACGAGAGCCAATGGAACTAAGACTGTCACCCCCTCTCCAGCTTAGGTACTCATCCATATGCAGTAACTGGTGTAAATCACCAGATGTTATTTCCTTTGGTAGTAAAATATATGATTTAATGTATACATATATATTTTTTAAAAATAGAAATAATTTAAAATCATAAGAATACAATTAAAAATGAAATAATTGGAGCTTCCATTTTTATCTTCAATATTCAAAAAGAACTGTTTGTTGGAAACTTTTTTAACCACATGAAATTCTCTTGAATGCAGTGATTCAAAGTCATGAATAGTCATACTATATATAAAATCTGCCTTAGTGGAGACCCAAGAAAAATAAAAGCAAGCCCTTTTTATTAACATTTTACTTAACTTGTTTTGAATGAAGCAGGCATGCGTCAAGAAAATTTCCTTGAATTTTGTCAAAGGCTTTTTCTGCATCTATTGAGATAATCATGTGGTTTTTGTCTTTGGCTCTGTTTATATGCTGGATTACATTTATTGATTTGCGTATATTGAACCAGCCTTGCATCCCAGGGATGAAGCCCACTTGATCATGGTGGATAAGCTTTTTGATGTGCTGCTGGATTCGGTTTGCCAGTATTTTATTGAGGATTTTTGCATCAATGTTCATCAAGGATATTGGTCTAAAATTCTCTTTTTTGGTTGTGTCTCTGCCCGGCTTTGGTATCAGAATGATGCTGGCCTCATAAAATGAGTTAGGGAGGATTCCCTCTTTTTCTATTGATTGGAATAGTTTCAGAAGGAATGGTACCAGTTCCTCCTTGTACCTCTGGTAGAATTCGGCTGTGAATCCATCTGGTCCTGGACTCTTTTTGGTTGGTAAACTATTGATTATTGCCACAATTTCAGAGCCTGTTATTGGTCTATTCAGAGATTCAACTTCTTCCTGGTTTAGTCTTGGGAGAGTGTATGTGTCGAGGAATGTATCCATTTCTTCTAGATTTTCTAGTTTATTTGCGTAGAGGTGTTTGTAGTATTCTCTGATGGTAGTTTGTATTTCTGTGGGATCGGTGGTGATATCCCCTTTATCATTTTTTATTGTGTCTATTTGATTCTTCTCTCTTTTTTTCTTTATTAGTCTTGCTAGCGGTCTATCAATTTTGTTGATCCTTTCAAAAAACCAGCTCCTGGATTCATTGATTTTTTGAAGGGTTTTTTGTGTCTCTATTTCCTTCAGTTCTGCTCTGATTTGACCCAGCCATCCCATTACTGGGTATATACCCAAATGAGTATAAATCATGCTGCTATAAAGACACATGCACACGTATGTTTATTGCGGCACTATTCACAATAGCAAAGACTTGGAACCAACCCAAATGTCCAACAATGATAGACTGGATTAAGAAAATGTGGCACATATACACCATGGAATACTATGCAGCCATAAAAAATGATGAGTTCATATCCTTTGTAGGGACATGGATGAAATTGGAAACCATCATTCTCAGTAAACTATCGCAAGAACAAAAAACCAAACACCACATATTCTCACTCATAGGTGGGAATTGAACAATGAGATCACATGGACACAGGAAGGGGAATATCACACTCTGGGGACTGTGGTGGGGTCGGGGGAGGGGGGAGGGATAGCATTGGGAGATATACCTAATGCTAGATGACACAGTAGTGGGTGCAGCGCACCAGCGTGGCACATGTATACATATGTAACTAACCTGCACATTGTGCACATGTACCCTAAAACTTAGAGTATAATAAAAAAAATAAATAAATAAATATAATAAAAATAAAGAAAAAAAAAGCAAAAAAAAAAAAAAAAAGAAAATTTCCTTTAAAAATGATCAAGTAGTAAATAAAATTTGAATGTTTGTTGTAATTTTCACTTACATGCTTTGCAGACCTGTTTAATGCAACATTCTGGGATGATGGACAATGTTCCCTATGTTAAGTATAGTAGCTACTAGCTACATAGAGCTATTGAGCATTTAAAACAACTGAGAGGCCAGGCGCAGTGGCTCTGGCCTGTAATCCCAGCACTTTGGAAGGCTGAGGCAGGTGGATCACGAGGTCAGGAGATCGAGATCATCCTGGCCAACATGGTAAAACCCCATTGCTACTAAAAATACAAAAATTAGCTGGGCGTGGTAGCACGTGCCTGTAGTCCCAGCTACTCTGGAGGCTGAGGCAGGAGAATCACTTGAACCCAGGAAGTGGAGGCTGCAGTGAGCCGTGATCACGCCACTGCACTCCAGCCTGGGCAACAGAGTGAAACTCTGTCTCAAGAACAACAACAACAGCAACAACAACAACAACAACAAAAACAAAACCATAACTGAGGAAATGAATTTTTCACTTTGTTTAATTTTAATTAATTTAAATAAAACAGCCACACTATTTTCACGATTTTGTAGTTATGCTCATTATAATTAAATGTTCATTTTCTTTTGCCACTCTTCCTCCAAAAGACTCAAAGGTCCCTAAGGACCTGTAATGCCTTATACATTTTTTTGACGTAGAATAGATTATCTTTCTTCCTCTCTTTCCTCTCTCTCTCTCTCTGTTACTTTCTCTCTATATATTTCTGAATGTTTATAAGCATTTACTGACAGTCTACTCATTTCTTTCTTCTTTTCTTTAATGCAATTAACTGAATACTTAGAAAATACAAATTACTATAATAAGTTCTGTGAGGAATTTATGACACGTTTCATGATTTGGAGTTTAAGGTTTAGTGTTCTGCTACTGGCATGTACCAGGTTGAGAGGCACAGAGTTTCCATACTTGAGTACTGCTTATGTGAAGTTACAGCTTGTATCAATAACTTAAAATTGATCATTAGAGAAATTCAAATCAAAACCACAATGAGATATCATCTCACACCAGTCAGAATGGCCATTATTAAAATGTCAAAAAATAACATGCCGGCAAGGTTGTGGAGAAAAAAGTATGCTTATACACTGTTGATAGGAGTGTAGATTAGTTCAACCATTGCAGAAAGCAGTATGGCAACTCCACAAAGAGCTAAAAGCAGAGCTACTATTCCACCCAGCAATCCCATTACTTGGTACATATACCCACAGTACTAGAAATTTTTCTACTATAGGTCAGGTGCAGTGGCTCACGCCTGTAATCCCAGTACTTTGGGCAGCTGAGGGTGGGTGGAGTGCTTGAGTCCAGGAGTTTAAGACCAGTCTGGGTAACATGGTGAAACCTTCATCTCTACTAAAAAGTTAAAAAAAAATTAGCTGGGTGTGGTGGTGCAAGCCTGTAGTCCCAATTACTGAGAAGGCTGAGTTGGGAGAATTACCTGAGCTCAGGAGTTTGAGGCTGCAGTGAGCCGTGATCATGCCACTGCACTCCAGCCTGAACAACTGGAGTGAAACCCTGTCTAAAAAAAAAAAAAAAAAAAAAAAAAAAAGACATCATTCTATCATAAAGATACATTCACATGTATGTGAATGGTCATTGCAGCGCTATTTACAATAGCAAGGATATGGAATCCACCTAGATGCCCAGCAATGACAGATTGGTTAAAGAAAGAGTGGTACATATGTACTGCGGAATATGCAGCCATAAAAAAAGAACAAGATCATGTCTTTTGTGGGAACGTGGATGGAGCTGGAGGCCATTATCCTTAGCAAACTAACACAGGAAAAGGAAACCAAATACCGCACGTTCTCACTTGCAAGTTGGGAGCTAAATAATAAGAACAATGAACACAAAGAAGGAAACAACAGACACGGGGGTCTACTTTAGGGGGGAGGGTGGAGGAGGGAGAGGAGCAGAAAAGATAACTATTGGGTACAATGCTTAGTGCCTGGGTGACAAAATAATCTGTACAACAAGTCCCCGTGACACGTGTTTGCCTATGTAACAAATCTTCACATGTACCCCTGAACCTAAAATAGAAGTAAAAAGGAAAAACAATGAGTTGAAAACAATTGTGGGCTGTATCAATAACTTTTGTTCAGTGATTTCACCCTCAAAAATTCAAAAGATAATGGAACATTCCTTGGTATTTAATAACTTAAGAATTTAAGTCTCCATAATGCAAATTCTATAGAAAAAGTAAGTTAAATATAAGTTCTGAGCTCTTATCCCATTGACTATGGATCCCATTGGCATTTATACTTAATACACTATTAAAATAACTTCACACTGGTGATGTACTGAGTGACAGTTTGACAGCTCAGAATTCTGATGGGACATGCACATCTCTTGTACAACTAGGTTTAAAGCTCTGTTTTGCATATTTACAAGCTTGGGACATAGTGAAACTTACAGCAGGGATCTAAAATGTAATTGCAGTTGAGAAACATGAATCCTCTCTTTCCATGGAATTTAATTAAACATTTCCATTATTTTTGTTTCTAACTCACCTGTCAAGGTGTGAATTAAGGTAAGCACAGTAATAAAATCTGAAATGAAATAAACAATCAGAATTTTTAAATCAGGTGGTCACAATTAAGTAGACATTGATAAAAATGTGTACCAAATAGAATGCTTGGTGTTTTAAAATGAACAATTTTTTTAAAAAAGCATTTAAAACATTTTTTTTGGTCAACATTCATCACTGGAATTGGGTCCCAACAGTGAAATACATGGCTTGCCTATATATACACTAGAATCTGTCCATTTATCAGTATAAAAGCACAATGATGAATGGGAAAACATTTTTTAAAAAGAATTTAAAATATAATGAACCTGAAAAAATGTCACTGAATCTAAAGAGAAGTATTCCACTTTTGTGGGACCTCATCTTTAAATGTTGGGTTTTTCTTTAAAACATACAGCCTTAGGACCTGTTATATGATAATGAGAAGAGGCAAAAACATTTGACTGCAGCATATCTGAACTTGTTTTAATGGAGGTTTTGTGGGCATATTTTACAGAATGAATCATCCAAACAACATTGAGGGAATTAATTTTTGCCTCATACAGCTCCAGGTACTTAGAAAGTGCTCAGTAAATATTGGTTGAATCAATAACAGTACGCAATTTCATGTTAGGGCTACTGCTATCAGCACCTGGCATAATCCTCTCTATTCTCTTCACTATGTAGTTAAGCCATCAAACCTTTAGATTGTGTCATTATTGATGGTGAATAGGAAGTGAAATGATTAAGCCTCCCTACCCTCAAAGAATGTTGTCTTACTTGGCTCAATTATTGATGAACAGTATCCTGTGAGCTTCCACGTTATTTGTTAATGCTACCACAGAGACTAAATTGATATAAAGTATTAATTACAGTTTTTAAAATTAACCTAAGAAAATGATTTTTAAGGAAACTTTTTCTTGTTTGAAACATCAAGTATGTATAGTAATACTTGATTTTGTAACGTTGAGTCTCAATGTGTACCTCTCATATTTGTAAGAAGCCAGAGAGAAGGATTCTGGAAACTTCCATGGAAACAGTGGTACTGCCCATGACTGGGTTACACATCTGGGAGAAAGGAGAATTGAGAAGATTATATTTAACACAGAAGTTGTTTGGAATATATATATATATATATATATATTTTGTTTTGTTTTGTTTTTGTTTTGTTTTGTTTTGTTTTGTTTTGTTTTTTGAGATGGAGTCTCACTCTTGTTGCCCAGGCTGGAGTGCAATGGCGTGATCTCAGCTCACTGCAACCTCCCCGCCTTCTGGGTTCAAGTGATTCTTCTACCTCAGCCTTCCGAATAGCTGGGATTACACGCATGCACCACCACACCCGGCTAATTTTTTTGTATTATTAGTAGAGATGGTGTTTCATGCCTGTAATCCCAGCACTTTGGGAGGCCGAGGCAGGCAGATCACCTGAGGTCAGGAATATTTCAAATTATAGGAAAAACTACCAGAGACAGGTCAATGGAATATTTATATCATTGAAAACATGTTTTCAACAGGTGCAGTTTTGGTATCATTTGTCTCAACATTCAAATCTCTCAGTTTTTACAAGAACGTCTCTAGATGGAAACTTGCAAAAGCAGGGCAAAATAATCAGATTCTCCGAATCTCAGTGGAGCCACGCAAAAATTGATCTCATTGCAGAAGCGGGAGAATCTACTCTACCTTTTCAGGTAAGCACATACGAAATTAATACAACTCAACAGAAGACACTTATTTAATGCTAAACCTTTCAGATAACAATATAACACACATAGCTCATACCTTTTCAGGTGAGCACATATGAAATTAATACAATGCAACAGAAGACACTTATTTAATGCTAATCCTTTCAGATAACAAAATAACACCATAGCTCATGAATTTATTCAACATTAATGAAGCAAACACATTCAGAGATCAAACACATGATCTGTGATGAGTAGAGAGGTTGTTTTGACTATGCACTTAAGACATGTGTAGAATAGTAGCAAAAATGGAGATAAGAAATGAATAAGATGGCAGAGAGAAGAGTAACTTAAAATCATTTCTAAGTGAAGACGTTGGATTATATGATGTAGTGAAAAAGTCTGACGTGGGCTGTAATATTTTAATCCTATTGCCTCACTTTCTGCTGCCTGGTAACATTGAGAATGTTATCCACCTTTGGGAACTGGAGGACATTATACAAAGTGAAATAAGCCAGGCACAGAGAGACAAATATGGCAGGTTCTCACTCATGTGTGGGAACTAAAAAGTTGATCTCATGGAGGTAGAGAGGAGAATGGTGGTTACTAGAGGCTGAGAAAGGTGGGGAGGAGGAGGTTAGGAAGGGAGTTTTGTTAATGGTTAAAAAATGTAGTTAGTTAGATAGAAGAAATAAGCTGTAGTGTTTGATAGCACAGTAGGGCAATTATAACAAGTTATTGTGTATTTCAAAATATTTAGGGGATAAGATTTGGAGTGTTCCCAACACAAAGAAATGAGAAGTGTGTGAGGAGATGGTATCCCAATTACCTTTATTTGATAGTGACACATTATATGCATGTATCAAAATATCACATTTACCCCATAAATATGTACAACTACTATGTATTAATAAAATATAATAATAAAAGAAGGCAATTGTGTCTTGTCAAATGGGTGTTCTAATTTCTACCTTCCTGTATATAAGTCTTCTGGATGACATTTGAAAAGAGCTATTTTGGAAACTAGATTGGATGGAGTGGAATATGGTGGAAAGCACACTGTTTTGGAGTCAGTGGTCTGAGTTTTAGTCTCTGCTCTGCTCATTGGTTGCTAAGTGACTGTGTAAATATTGTCTTTGTGCATCAAATTTCCTAATGTGTGAAAACCAGTGATGATAAAAGCAATACTCCAGGGGAGTCTGAATATTAAAGATAATATAGCTAAAATGGCAGCCATGAACATGGGCTCTGGAAACTTGGGTTCAAGTTAAAGGGTTGGGGGTGGTGGCTCATGCCTGTAATCCCAGCGCTTTGGGAGGCTGAGGCGGGTGGATCACGAGATCAGGAGATCGAGACCATCCTGAGTAACACAGTGAAACCCCACCTCTACAAAAAATACAAAAAATTAGCCGGGCATGGTGGCACGTGCCTGTAGTCCCAGCTACTCTGGAGGCTGAGGCAGGAGAAGCACTTGAACCTGGGAGGTGGAAGTTGCAGTGAGCTGACATGGCGCCACTGCACTGCAGCCTGGGCAACAGAGTGAGACTCCATCTTAAAAAAACAAAAACAAAAAAGTGTATGATTATAGGGAAGTTACCGAAGCCCTCTATGCCTCTTTCATTAGTGGGGTGTGAGGATAATAGTTGGGGATTTAAGGTCATCTCATCCTCATTTCTGAACAAATTGAGATAAATATAGAGGTTAAACAGGTAGAGAATACATATTTTGGAGCAGATGGCTTTAGGATGTAGAGTCACTTATTTAAAATAATGCTTGATCTTAGAATAAATAGAATTACCCAGGGGACAATTGACTGTGCTGGAGAAATATAGAGCTCATACTCTAGGCGAAGTCTCTTACCTTTAGCCAGAGATAATATCAGTGTGCATGCCTCCTGAGGACAGGCTGGCTCCCAATAGTGGGTGTTGAATGGGAGAAGAGGATGAATCGAGCTCCCCCAGGTTACTCTTCTAACTTCACAGTCAGATAAATCTTCCTCCTCCCATGGAGTGAGGGGTAAGTAACAGCAATGTTACTACAGTGAACCACCTCCCCATGAAAGCAGGAAGACTAGGGCATAAGCATCAACTGTAATCAATTACTGTTCTCTACTTTATACAGTTATTGTGAGGATTATATGGTGTGTACTTGTAAAGCACATGGAAGCAAATCTGGCACAAACACAGAATTCCGCTGTTTTTATTGCTGTAGTTATTCCTTGGATATTGTCTGGAAATAGTAGACACTCAATAAATGTTAGTGTTCTCTGTTTTAAAAAGGGAATTCCCGCTTGATCAGAACTCTAGGCTCGATCATTAAAGGCTTCTTTACTCAGTGAAGGTCCCCAACGTCCCTTCTCAAAGATCAATTTATTCTATTCTCATATTTAATGGACAAAGACGTCATGAATACTAGCAGCTCTTAATTGGGAAGCATTTGACACAAAGGCTGGTCATGGAATCATTTTGGTGTCAATCTCCATTGCAAGGAGCAGGGCAATGAAATCAGAACAATTTGATCTTTTGCCTCCTGCATTTATATTCTATAGAAAATTGTTTTCATTCGGTTTGCTTTTAGTTAGAATGAAACTCACCAAGAAGATCGTTCAGAGTTTGTCATTAATTGACATATTGAGAAGAAAATAGAATGTCCTTTCTAGCAGTAAGTAATTTAGAAATATGAGTTGAAACACATGCCATTTCTGTCTACAGCTGGAAGCTCTCATGGACCCATCAACATTACTGAAGAGTTTCAGTGAATGCAATTTTTGTTTTCTCTTTAATGTTCTCCTTTTTGGATATAGTAATGGTTTTGCTTTGCAGTGCAAATGGAGACTATCCCTTATTATCTGGGGGCATATTAACTAGTTTGTAGATGGGCAGTGGTTTGGTTAGATTCTGTGATTTGGCTGCAATGGATGTGTGAGGGTTTCTAACCCAGCCCTGCTCCTCCCTCTCCCTTCATCCCCCTGCTGGTGGCTCAGCACCTTGTGTTGCTTTTTCTCTCCAATCAGCCTCAATGCTGAGTTCTTTCGAGGCCTCGGTCACATTGAATTCACCCCAGAGAAGCTAAGACTTTTCCTCTGTGCCTCCCCACTTAATCTGCCTATGAGTTGGCTACAGCACACATTTATTTGGGAAACTACAGATGAGTAAAAGAAAAATAAGAAAAAAAAATTCCCTCACATTTCACTCTCAAGAAGGCCAAGACAGCCCTATAATATCCAATCAGCAATTTAGAAAATTAAATTTGGAAAGCAATAAGCTTTTAAAAAATGAGTTTAGAGGCAAAACCCAAGCTGCCCTGAACCACTGTGAGGCCTTTAGGCAGCTGATTTCATGATAGGTTTGATTAAACAGTGCTGCCCCCAATCTCCCAGAGGGTGTCGTGTAATAAACACTCTCGGTGTTATGTTACCATTCTCAGCTCTGAGCTATTCACATTTCAAAACTCATCTGACCCCAAAGACTTTAGATAAGGAACTGTGGACTTGCAATGATGTTCTGCTGTGAATCAGTCTGGATTTTATACATACACAATATATAAAAATAGATACACTTGCACAGATACATACATGGTAATATTTAATACATGAGTATTGCATATATTTACTATTAAATATTTCTAACTAGTAGTTAAAACAGAGAGAAACAAATACCTAAATACAGCTCAGGATTAACTAATGTTAACATTTTGTTTGCTTATAATGTTAAAGTTTGTTTGCTTATGAAGATGCAACTTTTGTCTTCCTTGTATCTCTCTCCATCCCATTTCTTATCCTCTGCAGAAAAAAAAAGATGCTAATATTATGCTGGCTTTAACCTGATTTCTCTGAGTGTATTTTTAAAGATATGAAAATATACATGAGGATTCTAGCTAGGTACAGTTCTACTTTGTTCTTTTATCGACAACAAATGAAAAAGATATTCTACCTACAAATAGTTAATCTAGCTTTTTAAATATTCAAATATTTAAAGTTTGTCTTCTTGGAAATAGGCTAGGATTTAAGATTAGTAGCCTGAGTCATTTAAGGGTGACCTTAGTCATTGTCTAGCTTTCAGTTCCACGTGTCTAAGCTCTGAACATATTTATACAGTACAGTGTAATCCAGTCCAAATATTGGAAAGAAGAAAGACATCAAATCATGTGACCTCTGTGTTCCCTTTTAGCCATGAAATTCTGATTCAGTGTGGTTCTTTTGATGTCAATTGTAGACAATATAACAGAATACAAATTGCTTTGGGTTTCATAGCAAATAAGCACCCCTAGTTAGGTAGGGCATTTGCTCTTCCTGCTGGCAAAGAATTAGGTTTACTGTTTTCTCTGTAAGAACAGCAAATTAATGACATTTCAATATTCCCTCTATTTCTTGTGAGAGTTTATTGGAAAAATTTAGGTCAAAGAGTTAATAGCATTTTTCAAATCTGTTTTAACTTGGCCTGCTCACTTGCTATGTTCAGCTTTTCACACTAATAGATTCTTTTAATATTTCTTTTCCCCCTAACTATTGTGCTGTTTTAGTATCTCAAGGTGGCACTTTTTCTGAGTAGTCCATTGATTTCAAGTTGCTCTACTTTCTTCGAGCTTCCCATTAAAATGTAATTGTATCATATTTTAGATTTCATTTTGAAATGAACCTTTTGTGAAATTTCACACAATGATGGATACCATGTTCTGTCTTTATCGGAGTCAATGATATAAATCAATAACAATTTCCTGACATTATTTGACGATTCAGTGAAGGGTAAGATTCATAACACAAAAGTAAAAGGTGATCGAGTCTCCGTAAAGTTGCTGGGTCCTTGGCCTGCTTAATCTAGAGCTGCATGAAATCTTGTTTCTCCAGACAGCCCTATTCTGCAGCATCCACTAAAGCCCAGTTATCTCTTTATTTCATTAGAGAGATGCAGGATAGTATAATCATTAATGGCTCAGCTTACATATTTTTCTTACTTGACATGTGACATTCAACCAATTACTTCTATTCTCTAATCTTCTGTTTCTTTCACCTTAAAATAAGATGAAAATAGCATCATCTTCACAGGATTAAAACAAGTGAATGTGACTGGCATATAGTAAGTGCTAAATAAAAGGTGGCTGCTGCTCTTATTATTGATACCATCATCATTCTTCAAAAATTAATATATTCCTACTACTCTCTACTCCTTCTTACTATATCTCTATTTTCTCTTGGATTCATATTCATTTTTTGCTCCCGTTATTTTTTTTGAAAACAAGATTTCTATGTTAATTGCGTATTTGTCTGGAAAAGCACCTGAGTTTTGCACTTGTAAAAAGTAATCACTTGATTATGAACATTTATGAATTTTTGTGGTTCCTAAAAGCAAGAAATTATTTTTTTCATAGAAGGAATAATATAATTGAATAAAACAAAAATCAACAAGATCCCAAAAAATAGTTTTAGAAGAGTGAGTCATCTAATTCAATTTAAAATGTAAATTATTCAATTACCTTGAGAATCTTATCAAATGAGGTTTTCACTCTTCCTCCATCTGTGGTTGAAACAGCTCTTCTGAGTGACCTCTTTCTCACTTACTGATTACCAATTGATGCTGACTGTAGTTCCGAAAGGGAATTGGTCACAACATTTTATATTTTATATACATATATATATATATATATATATATATATACACACATGTATATACACACACACATATATACACACACATATATATGTGTCTATGTGTGTATATAAATACACACACACATATATATGTCTATGTGTGTATATAAATACACACACACATATATATGTCTATGTGTGTATATAAATACACACACACATATATGTCTATGTGTGTATATAAATACACACACACATATATATGTCTATGTGTGTATATAAATACACACATATATGTGTGTATGTGTGTGTATATATACGTATATACACGTATATACGTATATATATCATATAATATACGATATATATACACATATATTGATATATATATCATATATACATATATGTGTATATATATCAGTTTGGTTATATATATACATATATACACATATATACACATACATATATATACATATATACACGTATATACGTATATATATGATATATATCACATAATATATGATATATACATATATGTGATATATATATCATATAATATATGTATATATCACATATATGTGATATATATCATATAATATATGTATATATCACATATATGTGATATATATCATATATCACATATATGTGATATATATCATATATCACATATATGTGATATATATCATATATCACATATGTGTATATGTATCAGTTTGGTTATGTATATACATATATACACATATATACACATACATATATACATATATACACATATATACACATACATATATATACATATATACACATATATATATGTATATGTATATGTATATATCAGTTTGGTTAAAACCAGCAATAAAAAATAGGAACAGCCAAGGTGATTTTGAAACCATGAGATGGTCATTATTTACAGGTGTAACAGACATTTTTTGAAGGAAGTAATTGCTTGTATTTTAAAATTCGTATGATTTTAATTAATGGTAGAATTACAATTTCTAATTGTATAATTATGAATTTAACTATGTAGAAGAAAGCAAGCAAAATATAGATGACCTAATATTATTTTTATTTGGCTTTTGAAGTTGGATTTATCCTTCCATTTTAATATGAATATCTAAAGGAACCTGGTGGGTCCCTTCAGGTAAAGTAATGTAACCACATTTTAAAGACTACCTCAGGATTTTACTTCACCTCATCCCAGGGCCCACCCATTCCATTCAAATAATGTGAGCGTGTACCTCTTTAGGAGCATAGAGAAGTGCCTCAAACTGTCGTTTTTTTTCCTCCAGTTTTCTCTGAGTAGCACAGACCTTCAAATATGATGGTCAACAAATGCTTGTCTAATGAGTCTGAAGAATTAAACATCTATTTTAATTGACATCAATGCAAGATGTATTATAATCATGAATATAGAAAAACTCTTTCAAAAGTTAAGCTGTCCAAAAAAATCACAGTCACTTAATGGTATTAAACACAATATATTTCTAAAGTACAATACTTGTGTATATTTTACCAAGATCCTTCTTCAAAACCTATGTTATTTTCTGCCTCTGGAATGAAGGCTAAATTTCTTAGTTTAAGATTCTACAGAAATCATCTCTAATCAGAATCTTAAAAATTATTATGTACATCACATTAAAATATCAAAAATTGCAAATAAAGCAACAGTCCCTGCTGACCACCCTTATCACCCACCATAGATTTTATCTTGAGTATCTTTAGATACCAGTTTATTTTTACTTCCAGTCCATTTTCTATTTACTTAATATGTATAAATGTACCACATATACTTGGAAATCTAAACCATTGTATGTTTTCAGCCTAAGTAATATTATACTATAATATTTTTCTGTAACTTATTTTTTTTACTCCAAAACACATGTTGAATTTCTTTCCATAATGACACATGGCGATAGATATTATTTTTAACTGGTATAGTATTTCTCACTATTGATTGATTCATTCACATGTAAGTTCTTTCCTGTCATTTGTCATCAAAACCAGCACTGAAATAAACATTCCTGCACAAGCCTTCATGTGTATACCTTTGAGTGTCTCTCTAGGATAAATGCCAAGAAATTAACTCAATTTTTATAGTCTATGCAATTTTTCTTTTTAACAAATGCTGTCTAGTTTCTCTCCAGTTGAGCTGTACCAACTCATGGAATTTTCCTCTCCATCTATTATCTGATTAATTTGTTGTTCTCTTAAAATCTTATACTCCGTTAACACCCATCAACATTTTCTAAACACACAATACACTTTCTCATCTCTGTGTTTTTGCTGCGATTGCTGCCTCAGTTTCTCGAGGTAAAATGTTTTGCCCAACAAAATTTGGTATCATGGAGGCTTACTATTACTTCTCCACCAAATCTTTTCCCAAACTCTCATTATTGGCAGAAATAATGAAGTGTCTTCTTTGAGTCTCCTAGTATCTTATACTTATTTCTTATACAGCATTTATGATGTAGGGTAGTGAATGTATCATACGAAGTGTAGGAGAGGAAAAGTAATACCGTTTCCTCACTCATCACAAGGGACATGGCTGGAAGCCCTATAACAAAAGAGAGGTTAAAAAGAAAAAAAATAACAAATTTATTAACATTTTATGTGACATAGGGGCCTTCAAAAACAAAGGCCTGAAGACCAGGGAAAACTCTCTATGTTTATGCTTAAGTTCAACAATGAATGGACAATCATGAAGAAATACAAATGGACAGAAAGAATATGATCTCATTGTAAAAACTTGGAGAGAACTCAGCAAAGATCTTTATGGGCCTCTCTGTGTAGTGTTTCTTTCATCCAGGTATAGATAGGGTAGGACACCAGTTAAATGAGGTTCTTATGACCTATTTTGAGGAGAAGTAAGCCGGATAATTCCTTTATGGCTGGCTCTCACAAAGGAAAGAGAGGGGAAGGCAGAGAGGGACTCCAAGGTGCTGTATTTTGGGATAGCATGTTCTGACTCCAAGGTGTTGTATTTTGAGATAGCATGTTCTGAGCCCTGGCACAAGTAAATTTAATGATCCTTGAGATTGGAGACCCTCCTTGACAGGATAGAAATGTACCTTCTGTCTGTGTCCTGGACTGGTGGTCCACTATGCAGGTTCATAAGATTCCTGGCATAAATTACTTCTTCCTTTCCCTCCTTTCTCTCTCTCTCTCTCTCTTTTTTTCTTCTTGGAATAACAACATAATATGAGTAATTAACAAGAAAGAAAACAAATTATATCAGTCATTATTCAGCGTTAGAATAAACTAAAATTAAATAGATGTCTCTGAGTGCTTCAGCATATGAATATTATCAACCACTGTATGTGGTTATTGATGTGTGCTTTACTACAGTGAGTATGTTTCTGTGTATGTATATAATATATATTATGTTTGTATGAATGTATATAATATTTAAATATTTTAATATGGAAATAAATCATTGCCTTCAGCACACTGATTACAAATCAATTCATATCTCAGTTAAATTGAGTTGTAAGTCACACAGTTGATTACCCCAAAGAGCTCATTATAAATGCATATGACTCTTAATGGCTCCAATGAGAAGAGAGCCCTTCACTCGTGATGAATGTTACCACTTTTAATTGAAACAAGGTTACCTTTGGCATTAAGGTACATAAGATGCTGTCAAAGCAGTTATGGTTTTATAAATTTAAATTAGGATGTTCTGGTCAGAACAGTTTTCTAAAATTAGATTGGAGAATGGGACAGATGTAAATAGGGTTCCTCTACACAAAGAAATATGATTGTAAGACATTACTTTTGTGATGTGTTTTTAACAGTTTTATCTTTCTGTAATTATAGTTAATTTTGGAAGCTACTGTTTTGTCGTCAAATGCTACCGTTGCTCTAGATGACATCAGTGTGTCCCAGGAATGTGAAATTTCCTATAAATCACTACCAAGGACCAGTACACAAAGCAAGTGTAAGTTTTTCCTTGTCGTTGTTGCTGTTTTAAACATTGAATTAAGCTCTTCTCAGTATCAAAATATAAAATGTATTAGAGTCACGAATACCTAATACAGGGTGTGGATTATATCACCTGTTCTTGAAACCTAAAATATATATATATATATATATTTTAAAAGGTAAACATCTGGTCTAGTCCTTAGGCCTCTCTTCCAGTAATATGGAAAATATTCTATGCTTGCAGCTGAAATTATTGCATCCAAATATTTTAATTATAAATATTATGAAAAAATTATAATTATCTTGCATATTTTAAATACACTTTTATAAATATTCACTTCTCCATTAATTTTATTCAGAACTTCAAATGAGCATGTAATAATATTCATATTTCAGGATCACCCAGGAGTTCAAAAAAAGCAAAAAGGTTGTGTTTGGGAAAATGATGTAAGGCCAACCAAAATTTAAAACTGGACCTTAAAATTCTGTGTTTCTATTCAAAATTTAATATTTTCAGATCACAGATGGAGTTTGTCTAATTCTTTGACTAAATTTTTTGGAGAGAATATCAATTACAGGCCAGAAATGTTGCCATAAAAATGGATCTCATATAGTCAACTATGTATTTTAAAACCTAATCATTATTTAGATTCTGGGATCATGTACACATTGAAAGAATGTACACTATACCTTCAGTTACTTTCTCTTTCTAGTACTAATTGATGTTTCTCTCTGACCACTCCTACCCTCAGATCTCAATGAATCTGACAATATTAAAAATGTTTTCTGAAAAGTGTCACACTTTATTTTTCTTAATCTGTATCTATGGAAAAGATTTGCATATGAAAATCAGACATACTGTATATTCCTAAGTTATATATACTTAAACAACATATTTAGTGAGTGCAACAGTTGTATTCTTACAGGAGCTGAATGGACTAATCAAGAAAAATTTGGGTCACATGATTCTGGATTGAGGCGATTAAAGAACTTTTAATTAAAGGTCCTTTATTAAAGACATTTTTCATTCGAGAGAGTGTATATTTCTGGGTGCTTTTTTTTTTTTTTTTTTTGAGACGGAGTCTCGCTCTGTCGCCCAGGCCGGACTGCGGACTGCAGTGGCGCAATCTCGGCTCACTGCAAGCTCCGCTTCCCGGGTTCAAGCCATTCTCCTGCCTCAGCCTCCCGAGTAGCTGGGACTACAGGCGCCCGCCACCGCGCCCGGCTAATTTTTTGTATTTTTAGTAGAGACGGGGTTTCACCTTGTTAGCCAGGATGGTCTCGATCTCCTGACCTCATGATCCACCCGCCTCGGCCTCCCAAAGTGCTGGGATTACAGGCGTGAGCCACCGCGCCCGGCCCTGGGTGCTAATTTATATTGGGTTAACGTGTATTTACTTTATTCAGAATGTGTATCCTGCATGCATAATAGACCATTCTAAGCTCTGCGCATGTGTTCATGCAAGTGTGTGTGTGTGTGCATGTGTGCGCGTGTCTGCCTGTGTGTCTGTGTGTGTGTGCATGCCTGTGTGTCTGTGTGTGTGCGTGCATGTGTGCATGTGTGTGTGTGTGTGTGCATGGGTGTGTGCATGCGTGTCTGTGCACATGTGTGTATGATTCTGATAGACACCGAGGAGTGCAGAGCAGCAGATTTAAGGATTCATTTAAAGATTCATGAGTTTGGCCAGGCACGGTGGCTCACACCTGCAATCCTAGCACTTTGGGAGGCTGAGCCGGGCGGATCAGTTGAGGTCAGGAGTTCAAGACCTGCCTGGCCAACATGGTGAAACCCCATCTCTACTAAAAATACAAAAAAATTAGCCAGGGCATGGTGGCGGGCACCTGTAGTCCCAGCTACTAGGGAGGCTGAGGCAGGAGAATGGCGTGAACCGAAGAGGCGGAGCTTGTAGTGAGCCGAGATCGCGCCACTGCACTCAAGCCTGGGTGACAGAGCAAGATTCCTCTCAAAAAAAAAAAAAAAAGATTCACGAGTTTTTAAGGGTTAAACAGGATTACCTTATTTTTGTTGTTTAATTAAAGATTTTCTTTCTCTTAATTAAATACCACATCACCGGAATCATAATAGCTGAAAAGCATTAAAGTTGACATTGAAGAGCACTGTCTTGTAATGTAGTATTTGGAGGTATAGGGGCAGAAAGGTGTGACAAAAACCTTTCTTCACCCATCATAAAGGTCACAGCTGACACTCCGAGAATGAAAGACAGTTTAATGAGAGAAAAGCATAACAAATTTGTTTATCAAAGTTTTACTTGACACAGGAGCCTTCAGAAATGAAGATGCAAAGTCCCAGGGAAAAGCATGTGCTTTATTTTATTTTTTCGTTTTTATTTGTTTTTCAGCCCCTTTTCCTATTTAGAAAACTGTGTATTTTTCTGCTTAGTTTTGGTGAAGAGCAAACAGCCATTTTGAAATGTGATCGGACAAAAGGGTATGATCCAATGGTAACAGACTGAGCAGGGAAACTTAGCAAAGCCTCTGTGTTCAGAGTCTCCTTGACTCCTTTGTGTAGAATTTCTTCCCCCCTGGGAACAGGAAAGGACCCCTCTAGAATGAGGATCTTGTGACCTAATTTCAGGCAAGATAAGCCAGATAATTTGTTTATGACCAGCGCTCACAAAGAAAGGTCAGGGAAGTTCAGAGTGACCTTGCTCCTGGGGTACCTCCCAATCTCCTTCAGTTCAAAGTACTTTGGGGCAGCCTTTCCTGAGCTCTTACCGAGGCAAAAGTGTGGTTAAAGGTTTTAAATCATTACTAAAGTTAACCTTAGCAAAAGTTTTTGAGACACTTGATCTTGCTTATGGAGAATTCTTTTCTTAAATTCACTCAGGATTCATGGATATGTGCATCCATCTGAACACCAAATCAGTTGGATAGATAATATATCTAATTAGGACAGATTACATGAATGATTCCTGAAAGATCAATGGATGTACACAAAGGAAAAAAAGGCATTTCTTATTGTTTTTGCAAATATGTCCAGTAGACAATTATAGGATCTCATTTGTGGAGTTCAGTATTAGTAGTGAGCAGAAGTTTATGGAGAGAAACTGAAAGGAATATTTAAAAACGTGCCATGCTCCATTGACAGTAAATTGTTATATGTATGGAGCAGAATGGCCAAAGGTTTACCCAGACTACCCAGACCCTGTACAGGACTTGAAGTTTTGAAATCTTTAACAGGCATACAAATGGCTGCACCACTTCAAAGCAATCTTAGAGCTGTAGTTTTCTGCTCACAGTCCGCGTGATGAAAATCGCAAGTGCTACTTTGATTTGGCCTTTAATCAAGCTTCTTCTCCTTCAGAATATTTAAAAGCTAGTGTTGATGAAATAATTTTGCATTCTGTTTATTTGTTAAAGGGAGAGAGCCTGTTGTATGCTCTTAATCTCAATTTTGAAGCCAGATTTGTGCCTGGTGAGGATGCAGGTTGTATTTCATCCAGGAAGATACGCGATTTTCCAACTGAGTGCCCAAAGGGAGCACATGAAACTAATTGCTGTGAGTGCATTACTGACTCCTTCGGCAAATATTTATATGTACATATTTACTCTCTGAACGTAAAGTGCACACTACTCAAGTGAGCATTGTATGATGAAGACAGTCAGAACAGAGACCTCTGCATGATGGAAATGACTTGCCGGTGAGAACAAACCAGATTCGCTTTAAACTAGAGGCGATGAATGAAAACGTCCTGCTAACTTTCAGTTTTGCCCTGTTGGAGAATAATATTTGAAATATATGCAGGATAGCGCTCAAAACACAAGAGCAAGGATGTATCTAGCCAGTCATAGAAAAATAAGTAACACATGACATCACTTATATGAGGTATCTATGTAGTCATATTTGTAGAATCAAAGAGTAAAATTGTGGTAACCAGGTTCTGGGAGGAGAGGAAGTGGAAAATTACTAATCAACAGGCATACATTTTCAGTCAAACAAGATGAATAAGCTCTAGACATCTGCTGTATAACATGGTATCTAAAGTCAATGACAATGTATTGTACACTTAAAAATGTGTTGTGGGGGTAGATCTGGCTGGGTGCAGTGGCTCAAGCCTGTAATCCCAGCACTTTGGGAGGCTGAGGCATGTTGATCACTTGAGGCCAGGAGTTCAAGACCAGCCTGGCCAACATCACAAAACCCCATCTCTACTAAAAATATAAAAATTATCAGGGCATGGTGGCACACACCTGTAATCCCAGCTACTCAGGAGGTGCAGGTTGCAGTGAGCTGAGATCACACCACTGCATTACAGCCTGGGTGACAGAGAGAGACCCTGTCTGCCACCCCCCCATAAAAAAGAGGGTAGATCTTATATTTTCTTATCACAATATATGTATTATAAACATTTCTTTATTAAATTATTTTTAACATCATAATATTCTTATTATCGTAAGCAGTTGCTATTTCAGTACAACTAGCAGTAGAAGACTTTATACTGCTTACAAATGTTATTTCAAATGATAGTGTATCAATAAATAGTTCTATGGTCATAAAACTATAGATCCTGCCTAGTTCTATATATTTTTCCACCTTTAAGAGTCTCCTTTCAGTTCGTCCTTTTCCAGGGCAATGCCTCCATTCTTTCTGCTTTCTACTTAAATGATTCTAAAACTATCCTAGCATCCCTGAAAAAGTAATACAGAAGAAGAAAAAAAAAGAAGGTTGTCTGTTGGTGGATAAGCTTTTCCAAAAGTATTTTAATAACTGTACTATTGAACACAATTAAAAAGAGGCAAGAGGAAAGGCAAGAGAAGCATCCCATTTTATTGATTACCTATACCCGAGGTGAAAACCAAGGTGGTTTTGAGTCAAGACAGTGGAGGAACACAGACATTTTCCAGAAGTGTGGTGGCGCAAAGAGTTGGAGAGACTCTTTCCTCTGCATTCAAAACATACATGAGAATGATGAGAAAAATCAGGGCCATTGCTGAGTGCTAATACATTGGCAAGCAGCCATGCTGTGACCCACAAAAAACTTTATGAGCATCTTTTCTATACCAAGAGATTTGGTAAGAAGAAAGTGTGATCATTTCCCTCGAGAAACATAATCTATTACAGAGAGCTCAGAAATAAATCTAAACATAAAAGACCAAATAAGTTTTGACAAAGGCACCAAGAGGACACAGTAGGGAAAAAATAGTCTCGTCAGTAAATGGTGCCGGAAAATCTGGACGTTCTCATGCGAAAGAATGAAATTGGACCTTTGTCTTACACCGTACACTTAAATAAATTCAAAATGTAAGAAAGTCCTAAATTTAAGACCTGAAATCATTAAACTCCTAGAAGAGAACATAGGGGAAAAACTCCTTGACATTAGAGTTGGCAATGATTTTTTAATATCACACCAAATGCTCTGGCTACAAAAGCAGAAATAAATAATGGGATTACCTCAAACTAAAAGGCTTCTGCACAGTAAAGGAAACACTCAGCAAAATAAAATAGCAACCTGCATATCGGGAAAAATATTTGCAAACCATATATCTGATAAGGGGTTAATATTCAAAATTTATGAAGATTTTATACAACTCAGAAATAGATAAATAGATAAAAAATGGGCAAAGGCCCTGAATAGACATTTCTCCACAGAAGACATAAAAATAATCAACTGGTATATGAACAGATATTCCACATTTCATTGGCATTAATCATCAGGGAAATACAAATCCAAAACTCTTTTAGATACCTCCTCATATCAATTAGGATAGCTATAATTAAAAAAAAGCGTAACACATTTTAGTAAGAGTGTGGAGAAAAGAGTACTCATACTGTTGGTGCAAATGTGAATTGTGCAGCCATTATGGAATATGGTATGGAGGTTTCTAAAGAAATTAGCAATAAAACTACCCTATGATTTAGCAATCTCTCTTTTGGGTATATACCCAGAAAAAATGAAATTACCACTTCATAAAGCTATCTGCACTCCCATGTTCGCTGCAGGATTATTCTTGATAGCCAAGATATGAAAACAACCTAAGTGTCTGTTGATGTACAGATAGATAAACTGTGGTATCTAAAGAAACAGTGGAATATTATTCAGCCTTAAAAAAAGAGATTCTGCCATTTTTCACATCCTAGGTGAATCTGGAGGAAATTATGCTATGAAATAAGCCAAACACAAGAAGGAAAATATTGCATGATCTCAATTATGGGTGGCATCTAAAAATTATATACAGATATAGAGAATGAAACAGTGGTTACCAGAGGCAGGGGCCAAGGGAAGGAAATGGAGATATGTAGATCGGAGGATACGATGTAACAGATATGGAGGAGAAATGTGTCTAGAGATGTAATGTACAACGTGAGGACTACAGTTAATAACACTTGAGGACTACAGTTAATAACAGATTTGAGATTTGAGATTTGATAAATGAGTAAGTTTTAGCTACTCTTGCCACAAAAAAAGAAAAAAAAGGGCAATTATGTGAGATAATGGATAATTTGCCTCACTGTAATAACCATTTTACTATCTATATGTATCCCATAACCTTATGCTGTATATCTTTAATATACATAATAAAATTTGTTTTAAAAATTAAGAAAAGAAGCTTAGTCTATTAGGTAAGAAATGTATCGATTTAATAGTGTTGTAATGATAACTGGAATAGAGATGTAAACAAGTAGCTATTTTAACTCTAGGAAGTTGGAAAATATATTCAATAGAAAGTAGGTAAGTCCTCAGCAGCAATTTTTTTTATTTTATTATTATTATACTTTAGGAATTTCTTAAGATGTTTTCTAGTTTTCTTGCTGTGTAAGAAGAGTGTCTATTGCAAGTTCTGCCAGGGATTAACAGTTCTAGGCCTGTCTCTGATATACATTAAGACTGTTACCAAATGTACATGGTTTAAGAACCTTACCTATATAGTCTTTTAATCAGCAAAACAAATATAAGAGGTACTATTTTCCTCATTTTACGAACTTTCTTGTCATTTAGTTTCTTATCAGTTAGAATTCCATTTTAAACACAGTCTGCCTCCAAAACCTACATTTTTTTTTTTTTTTTTTTTTTTTGAGACGGAGTCTGTTGCCCAGGCTGGAGTGCAGTGGTGCGATATGGGCTTACTGCCAGCTCTGCCTCCCGGGTTCACGCCATTCTCCTGCCTCAGCCTCCCGAGTATCTGGGACAGCAGGCGCCCGCCATCACGCCCGGCTAATTTTTTTTTTGTATTTTTTTAGTAGAGACGGGGTTTCACCGTGTTAGCCAGGATGGTCTCGATCTCCTGACCTCGTAATCCGTCCGCCTCAGCCTCCCAAAGTGCTGGGATTACAGGTGTGAGCCACTGCACCCGGCCCAAAACCTACGTTCTTAACTGCAAATCGTATAGCCTTTCTATCCTTTTAAGGTCATCATTATATTGAGAATGATGTTTTTAGAAAATGTGAAAAGTTCCCTACGTGAGCAGTTTAAGCAATGGGAATTTTGAAGCCAATGATCAAAACTTCACTTTTGGAGGAGAAACGATGCCCTTAGTCTCTAATATGTCAAATGGTCACTTAGTAAATGCTGTCGAGAAGTTTAAGGAGTGAATGTCTTTAAAAAATAATACTTAATACTTTCTCCTTAGTAATTATTTCTTTAATCACAGTACATTTTATAATCTGAAATGTATTAAATTGCTTTTAATTCCTATAGTGCTTTTCGGGGACTTAAAAGATAATTTTTTAGACATAAAAGGAAAATAAAAGATCACTATTTGGATAATGGACCCACCCTCATAGGGAATTGAATTAGAAAATTAGCAAACGACCTCCAGTTCTCTAAAGTCTTATTTTGAGGGTTTTTTTTTTTTTTTTGCCTGCTTTTTTGAAAAAACTAATTTTTATACTGTGAATCTGTTTATTCATAGAAATGCTAATTCTTCATCCCATTTTTGTGAATCCTTTCATTAAAGATTCTGGCAATGAGTGGAGGTGAGGTAAAGACACAGTGAAGAATACAGAGAAGTAGGAGTCTTTTTTTTTCTTGTCTTCTTTGCAGCAAAAAGGTTTGAAGGAAGCATGCAAAATTTAGGCTGCGATTCTAATGTTGAACAAATGAGCATATCACTTCTCTTACAGAGACCTTAATTGCTTGAAAAAACAGGGGTTTCTTATAAGGAGGAAAAGGCAATGCCACCCTCAGGATTTCTATTTATGAACTTAAATCCTCCTAAAAAGGACCATTGCTATTCTTGAATTTCAAACATTTAATATTTTAATGCTATTTATTTTAATTTTTCTCACTTTCACAACCATCTTTAACACAATTTACTTTCTTTTTTACATGAGACTGATTATGGCCTACTTCAAACGGGTTATTAAGTTTGCTAAAAATTTAGGTCTTCAGTGCCTTGAAATATTTTCAGATTTTGTAGAAAAAAATAGCAAACATAAATTGCAACCAATTTTGGTAAATGAGAGAACAAGTTATTGGATTTGCTCAAGAACTGTTTGGGATACATAAAGGTTAGGAAGTTTTGCAGAATTTTGATAGCCTTGGATGATTTAATCAAATGTTTCCATACTTATTTATATTATGATATAAAAGTGCAGTTACTTAAAATGTAACCCAGGTGTACAGGTTTTCAAGGAGTCTCTCTCTCTCTGCCAGTTAAAACACCACACACTGATGATGATGTTAAATTATCTCTGATTTTTATTTATGATAACTGAAGGGCTGAAAAACCTACATAGCATGACAGATACAACATATCTCAACAAAACTTCTCTGGACCTTCAGAAACTCTAAGGGACAGGCTGCAGGGTGAATCACTGTTGGATGTAATTTTTGCCTGGACATAGCGAAATTACAGTGTATCAGAAAAGTTCAATGCCAGGGTGGATTTTAGGCCTGGGATCATGTTGCCATTTATGAGGAACTAGACAAATACTCTGTATGTTTTCATTTAAGGGAATGTTTAACATGATCTGCACATCTTAGCTCTCAAGTCAAACTTGGCATCAGGACAAACCCTAAAAGAAGGCAGATGAGGAGTGAGCTCCAGAGAGCAGAGCCAGTACCTAGGTGTCTTCCCATAGTTCCAGTGTTCTGAAAAGTCCATTTCTCCTGGACGGGTTATTTGATGTTGAGGCCAATCAAAATGCTACCTCATCATTTTTGAAAGCTTATCTTTATTTTTCTTAGATCAAAATTGTTACTCTGAATTGTTTCTTTAGGATAGATCATAAAAAGGGAAATTTGGGGTTTAAGTTTTTTGTAGTTGTTGTTGTTTTGTTTTGTTTTGTTTTTGAAACAGGGTCTTGGTCTGTTGCCCAGGCTGGGGTGCAGTGGTGCGATCTTGGCTCACTGCAACCTCTGCTTCCCGGATTCAAGTGATTCTCCTGCCTCAGCCTCCCTAGTGGCTAGACTACAGGTGAGCACCACCGTGCCCAGCTAATTTTTGTATTTTTAGTGGAGATGGGGTTTTGCCATGTTGGCCAGGCTGGTCTTGAACTCCTGACCTCAGGTGATCCACTCGCCTTGGCCTCCCGAAGTGCTGAGATTACAGGCATGAGCTGCCATGCCTGGCCTAAATTGTCATTTAATGACATTCAACACATTTTGCCAAATGTTTCCCCAAAACATTATGCTAATAAACAATCATATCAACAAAGTAAAACTGTGGCAGTGTCCCTGTGTTTGAAGTCCATTTTGAAATTTACTTTCACTTTTCATGATTATGCAAATACTATTTATAAGTTCCTATTTTTGTGAACAAATACTTTGTTTCCTCAAGACTAAAATAAATAATGCTACTTTATGTAGTGCTTTCTTTCGTTCCAAGAGATAATGTGTATACTGGAAAATGAAGATATTATGTGTCAAATAGTATAAATGGTACATTTTCTCACGCCTACATTGTATTAACAGGACATATATAAACTATTTTGTACTGGCTGTGCTATGTAATGTAGGCAAGAAAGCCAAAATTTACTTAAGCAGCTCTGTAAGTTGTAAAGACATTTTAATATTTCCAAACAACATTTAGTGAGCACTATAATTTATTTCTGTCTAAAACCTATTTAGTCCAAAGTGCATGTACTAATTTTATGAAAAAATTCTAAACAATTTCCTATATTCTACTTTTCTGTCTACTCATGAGAAAAAAAAAACATGTAAGTCTCTACTGAGTAGTTGAATTCAATGAAACCTTAGCCAAGGTTGAATAGTACAAGGAAAAGGAGTGATTTATTATTTATTTATTTATTTATTCAATCTTAGATGCTGGTTATATATTTTCCTCAAACTAGTATATCTGCTAAATACAGAAATATGTGCATTAGACACTGGCATTTCCACAGCAGAGATGCATAATAGAGACAAAGTCATTTTATGTGTGTTGATACTTTGCAAGCCATGTATCTTATGTACTCAGTATTGACCAAGAATAATTGCATTACTCTGCACTGAGACTTATGTTTTCTTTTATTACATAAATGCATTAAGAGAAGGCTTGAATTTCCTATAGCAACTCTCTGCTCTATATGTTTTGAGATAGTGTGTGTGTGTGTGTGTGTGTGTGTGTGTTAGTCTTTGAATTAGGACTACTTTTTTCAGTGTATTTTCTGAAAAATGTTTCTGAGTAGGCCTTTTTGGCTAGATTGGAGATACTTCATCTTAATTATAATATTAAAGGATTTCTATGATGTGTCTCTCTGTATAATTACAAATTACTTTTAATTTTGTAAGGTCTGGAAAAATGAGCTGCTGTTTTCTGTGTTCTATCTTATGTTCTTTTTCCATAGCCCTGAATACAAGGAAAAAAAGTCTGAAAATATACCTACACTTGCTAATTATTATCTTCCCCTTTTATTAAATGCATATTGGTAAATAAGTCTCTGTAGGGAAAAAAGGCTATCTAGTTATTTTTCCTTAGTAAACTGGATTTCCATTCTCTTCTCATTGTCCTCAAGTTTAAAATCTAGACAACTATTTTCTATTCAGACAAACCGCTCTAGACAGATGTCATTGTGAAAGACCCTAATGGGAGGTTGTTTCTGGTGAAGGCTCATCATTTCTGTGGCATGAAATCAAGAAGTGGAGAAAACGTCCATTCACCCTCATTTATGGAAGTCACTGATCTCCGATAAAGAAAAGTGAAAACTATTTCTATAGTCAGGTAAAATCTGATAAATAACCCATGCTATTTTGATCAGTCTTTGCTGCAGATAATCATGTTGTTAAATTAGGAGAATTCAGGATAGTAGTGAAAATACGTGATTCTTCTTCCGCCGTTGAAAATTCTATTGAGAATAAAAGCAGGCATTTAACAAGAAAGCCTTTTTCTATAATTATTTAAGATTAAGTTTCAATACATTAGATTATTAATGGTGACTGTGGAGAGAGTGGATTTTTTTTTCCGTGTCATACTTTGAGCTCGACTGGGATATTATTTTTTTGACAAGATCGTTGTTCTTCTTCACTCTTAAAATTGTGTTAGAAGTATTACTGGCTTTCCTTTTCTTTTTGTTGCTTATCTGCTGAAACTATTCAGTTCTTCTCTTTTCTCACATGCCACTACTCTTGTTCATTTTGTTTCCATTTTCAGGTTAGCAATGTGTGTGATAGGTAAAAAAGGGGCGTAAAGAGCCTTCCCCACCTAACACTAAGTGTTCCAAGCATCCAAGCAATCGACGTCTCCCTGCCTTGCAGAAACACACCACTGTAGGGAGTGAAATGTACACTGCTTCTGATGTGATACAATTATCTCTTTGGGTTATAGGTTTAGAGACACCTAAAAGACCACATAATAATTTAGTTAATTTATGTAGTATAAATACTCACATGCTTACTTTTAAGCACTTACTTTATAGCTGACAGTGTTTGAAGTAAATTTGCATGCACAAACTAATTTATAGCTCTGTAAAATAAGGCATAAAGAGGATTAATATTAGGGCCCTGCTTCCTAGCTGGGGACAGACTGACCCTTATAATGAGTGAATAAATTATGTACTATTTTTAGAAGGGATGTGTGCTGTAGAAAAAAAAATGAGGCAAGGAAAGGGCAATGGGGGAAGGCAAGGGAGCTTTGCAATTTCCAAGAGAGTGGTCATAGTACATCTCAGTTACAAGGTGGTATTGTAACAAAGACTTGAGAAGGTGAGGAAACAAGCTTTGAGATATCTCAAAAGAAAAGAAAGAGTGTTCTAAGCAGAAAGAAGGAACTAAGGGATTGGGACAGGAACACATCTGGTGAATTTGAACAATAGCAAGGGGACCAATGTGGCTGGAAGAGGTTGATTATAGAGAACAATTATAGGATAATAAGGCTGAGGAAGAGCAGCCCACCTAGAGCAATGGTTCCCAACACTGGCTGTGTGTGAGAGACACTCAGAGTTCTTTGCAGCAACATGGATTGAGTTGGAGGCCGGAATCCTAAGCAAATTAACAGAAACGGAAACCAAATACCACATGTTCTCACTCGTAAGTGGGAACTAAAACATTGAGTTCACATGGACATAAATATGGAGACAATAGACAATGGACTACAGGAGGGTGGAGAGGTGGGTAGGTTTCAAAACTACCTATTGGGTACTGTGCTCACTACCTGGGTTATGGGATCTGTACTCCAAACCTCAGCATCGTGCAACATTGCCATGTAACAAATATGCACATGTATTCACTATATCTAAAATAAAAGTCGAAATAAAAAGTCTTGAGGCAGGGCTAATTAAATCACAATCTCTAGGGTAGAATCCTGTCATTCACAGTTTTTAAATTATGTGCATCCAAGGTTGAGGACCATTTCAGCCGAGGCCTTATGGGTGATTGTAAGGACACTAGCTTTTAAATGAGACTGGGAGCATTTTGAACAGAAGACTTGCAAGATCTGACTTGCCACAATCACTGTGTTTGCTACATTGAAAAGAGATAGAAGGGGGTTATTGATGCCCATCGTCAATGACCACCTGTAACAAGATTGGGTTTATTGATAGTTGCTAAGCAAGGAAAATAGCCTACTAGGAGAAACTGGGACGTGGCTTAACAAGAGGAACTTGTTCTAGGATTTGGACTTGTGTTGGGTCATTTAGAGAAGGGCTCAAGGAAGCAAGAATTTTCTTTTGATTGGATGTTTTCAAGAAATAGGATAATTCTGTGATTGTATATCTGAACAAATTTTATTTAGGAGGTGAGATAAATTGAACTAAAGTTATAATTGGTTAAAATACAATACTCATGTCAGTCAGGAAAGGGGAATGAATATTTGAGGACTTTCGAGTTTACACTGTGATCTTTTTTTGTCTGTGTTCAGAAATGAATAGAGTGGCCTTCTTTTTGTCTGGTTTTATTTCTCAGTCTACGGAGCTACCTTGTTTAATGTTGTTGATATGTGCAAATCTTTATGTTCAACGGAAGATCACTACAGCTCAGCTGTTATTGTCAGTTCAGGTACTAGCAACACCAAAGTCTAGAAGACATCACCAGCAAACTGCCAACTGTTGGCCAGTGTCAGAAATGGAAGCAGAAAGAGCAGTTGGGGAGTATTCCAAGGACTGAATAAGGAAATGATGGTGACTTGAGCTAGGTAGGGTGAGAGCAGTAGAGATGGTCAGAAGTGGGCAGATTCTGGATCTATTTTGAAGGCAGGTAGAAGTGAAAAGCTTTGATAGAAATGAATAAATAATATAAAGATAATAAAGCAAATCAAAGAAATCAAACATTGGTTCTTCAAAAAGATTGGTAAAATTGACAAACCTTTAACGAAATGGACCTAGGGAGAGAGAGAAAGGGAGAGAGACAGAGAGAGGGAGAGACAAAGAGAGAGAGAAGATTCAAATTACTATAATCAGAAATAAAAGTGGGGACATTGCTTTCAATTCTACATAAATAAAAAAGATTATAAGATTAGAGTACCATATACAAATACATGCCACAAAATTGGATAACTTAAGTATAATAAACAGATTCCTAGAAATGTAAAACCTACCAAGATTAAAGCACAAAGAAACAGAAAATCTGAATGGACCTACAACTAGCAAAGAGATTTGATGAATAATAAAAGATCTGCTAACAAAGTAAAGCCCTGGAACTGTCCCATTAGTGTCAGTGGTGAAGTTTGCCAAGTATGTAAAAAAGAACTAACAACAATCCTCTCAAATTTTTCCAAAAAATTGAAGACAAGGAATATTTTCTAACTTATTCAATGAGGCCAGCATTACCCTGAGACTCAAGCCAGACAAAGAGACTGCAAAAAAAACTATGAACCTATATGCTTTATGATCGTTTATGCAAAATCCTCAACAAAATATTAGCAAAGTTATTTCAGAAGCATATTAAAAAGATTATACAACATGACCAAGTGGGATTTTTTTCCTGGAATGCAGGAATGGTTCAACCTAGGAATATCTGTCTATGTAATGCACCACATTAACAGAACGAAGGAAAGAAAAAAACACGTGATCACCTCAATTGATGCAGAAAAAAACATTTGATACAATTCAATATTTAATTCAGGATAAAAATACTCAACAAACCAGGAATAAAAGGAAACCACCTCAACATAATAAAAGCCATGTATGAAAAACTCACAGCTACATTATACTCATTGGTGAAAGACTAAAAGCTTTTCTTCTAAGATCAGGAATAAGGAAAGGATGTCCATCCATATCCATGTTTGCCACTTCTATTCGTAGTACTAGCAAAAGCAATTAATTTAAAACATAACAAAAAAGAAAATAATAGGAATAAAGAAAATGAAATAAAAGTCATACAAATTGGAAACAAAGAATTTTTATATGTAAATATCCCTTTAAGTTCTACAAAAAACCCTGTTAGAACTAAAACATGAATTCAACAAAATGTAAAGTTAAAATACAAAAATTGGTTGCATTTCTTTACATTAGCAATGAACCATCCAAAAAGGAAATTAAAAACCCAATTCTCTTGCAATAACAGAAAAAAGAATAAAAGTCTTTAGGAATTAATCAAGATGGTGAAAGACTTGTACAATAAAAAATAAAAAACATTTCTGAAATAAATTTTTAAAAATATAGATAATGAAAAGACATTCCATGTTCATAGATCAGAAGACGTAATATTCTTAAGATGTCAGTATCACTCAAAGTGATCTACAGATTCGATATAATCCCTGTTAAAATACCAATCACATTTTTTAGCTGAAATAGAAAGTAAGTTCATATTGAATCTCAAAGAACCCCAAATAGACAAAATAATTCTGAAAAAGAGGAACAAAGTTGGAGGACACACACACCCTGATTTCAAAACTTATTACAAAACTACAGTAAACAAAACAGTATGGTACTGCCAAAAAGACCAATGTATAGATCAGTGGAATAGATTACAGAGTCCAGAAATAAACCCTCACATATATGAACAAGTGATTTTTTTTTTTTTTTTTGGCAAAGGTACCAACACCATTCAATTGGTAAAATCCAGTATTTTCAATACATGCTGCTGGGAAAACTAGATATCAACTTGCGAAAGTATGAAGTTGGACCCTTACCTAACTTCATATTCAAAAAGTAACTCAAAATCAATCCATAAACTAAATATAAGACCTAAAACTATAAAACTCTTAGAAGAAAATATAGGACAGAAACCTTATGATGCTGTGTCTGTCAATGATTTAATGGATGACACCAAAGGCACAGGCAACAAAATAAAAAATAGACAAATTGGACTTTATGAGAGCTTTAAAATTTTTTGCATCCTAAAACACTATCAACAGAGTAAAAAGGCAACCCCAAGAAGGGGAGAAACTTTTTGCAAATTGTATATCTGATAAGGGATTGATATCCACAATATAGGAGAGAACTTCTAAAACTCAATAATAAACCAACAGCTCAATTCAAAAATAGACAAAATATTTTAATGGACATTTCTCCAAAGAAGACAAAATATTTTAATGGACATTTCTCCAATAAGCATGTGAAAAGATGTCCAACATCACCAACATTAGGGAAATGCAAATCAAAACAATGAGATACCACCTTGCATCCATTAGATTACTACCCAAAAATAATAAAAACCAAAAACAAAACCAAACAAAAAACCAATCCAGAAGTTAACAAGTGTTGGTGAGGATGTGGGAATCAGAACTCTTGTGCACTGTTAGGGAATGTAAAATGGCATAGCTACTGTGGAAGAGGAAAGCAATTCTTCAAAAAAATTAAAAATATAATTACCATATGCTTCGGCAATTCCAGTTTTGGGTATATACTCAAAATAATTAAAAGCAAGATCTCAAAGAGATATTTGCACACTCATGTTCATAGAAGCATTATTCACAATAGCTAAAACCTGAAAGTAACCCAATTATTCATTGACTGATGAGTGGATCAGAAAAATGTGGTGAATGCATACAATGGAATGTTATTTAGTCATAACAAGGAAAGAAATTCTGACATACACTACAAAGTGAATAAAACTTGAGGACATGGCCGGGTGCGGTTACTCACACCTGTAATCCTAGCACTTTGGGAGGCTGAGGTAGGTGGATCACCTGAGGTCAGGAGTTTGAGACCAGCATGGCCAACATGGTGAAATCCCATCTCTACTAAAAATACAAAAATTAGCTGGGAGTGGTGGTGTGCATCTGTAATCCCAGCTACTCAGGAGGCTGAGGCAGGAGAATTGCTTGAACCTGGGAAGCGGAGGTTGTAGTGAGCTGAAATCGCTCGTGCCACTGCACTCCAGCCTGGGCAATAGAGCAAAACTCTGTCCAAAGGGATAAGTAAATAAATGAAAATAAATAAAATAAAAAAAAAACTTGAGGACATACTGCTCAGTGAAATAAGCCAGTCACAAAAAGAAGTAATGATATGATTAGACTTATCCGAGGTATAGTGAATAGCCTAAATCTTAGAGACAGAAAGTAGAATGGTAGATTCCTGGGCCTGAGGGAAGAAAGGAGTGGATAATTCTTGTGTAATGGGTACAGATGTCAGTTTTGCGAGATGAAAAGAGTTTTGGACATGGATGTTGGTGATGGTTGTGCAACAATATGAAAGCACTTAATACTCCTAAGTTGTGCACTTAAAATGGTTTAGATAATAATACATTTTATGTTATGTGTATTTTATCACAATAAAGAAAAAGTAGGGGGAAAAGCAAATAAGAAGAGGGCTTGATATACCACTGCTGGTTTAAAGATGTAAGGAGCCACATGAAAAGATATGACAGGTGGGCTTAAGGAGATGAAAGAAATCCTCAGCAGACAGGCAGCAAATAAAACAAGGATCTCAGTCTTGCAGCCACAAGAAACTGAATTCTGCCAACCATCTAAATGAGAATAAGCCAGGAAGATTTCCCCCCACAGCCTCCAGATAGAGCCATCGTACCTTGTACTTTTATTACTACCTTATGAGACCCTAAGCAGACAGCCATGCCATGTCATCCTAGACATCTGACCTACAGAAACTAAGAGATAATAAATGAGTGTTGCAAGTCCCTAGGTTTGTGGTTGTTTGTTACATAGCAAGAGAAAACTAATAGAAACTAAAATAAAACAAATGCCCTGGGTATCAATAGAAAACAAATGCACTGGCAGTTACTTTCTTTCAAGACTCTAAAGATAACATTCCTTTTCCTTCTGGTTTCTATTGCATCTATTAAAGAGGTCTAATAATTATTCTTTGAAGGTGATTTATGCTTTTTTTTTCCAGCTGCTTTTAACATTTTTCTCTCTGGCACAGATTTTTGGCAGTTTGGCTAGGGTGTGCCTATGTGGGTTTTCTTTGTATTTGTTCTTTTGTGCTCACAGGGATCCTTGAAATATAGCTTTATATTCTTTTCAGTTTTGAAATTTATTAGACAGATTTTTCAAATATTTCTTCAGTTCCTGGAAATACTGTATGCCCCACAATGAGTTCTGAAAGAAGGCCAACATTATTTCAACAAACGATCAACAATATAATTGTAAGAGGGAATGGGAAGTAGTGATAAAATAACTTACAACATCAGGCATACATAGTCATGAAATAAGATGGAACTATCAAGCCAGGCTCAGTGGCTCACACCTGTAATCTCAGCACTTTGAGAGGCTGAGGCAGGAGGATCGCTTAAGCCCAGGAGTTCCAGACCAGTCTGGGCAACATGGCAAAACCTCATCTCTACAAAAAATACAAAAATTAGCTGGGCATGGTGGCACATGCCTGTAGTCCCAGCTACTCAGAGGCTGAGATGAAAGGATCTCTTGAGCCTGGGAGGTTGAGGCTGCATTGAGCCGTGATCATGCCACTGCATCCAGCCTGGGCAACACAGCGAGACCCCATCTCAAAAAAACAAAGAAAAGAAAAATGGAATTATTAAATTGTGCTACAAGACATGGGAATATTAATGCAATTGCACTTGATTTGGGTTGTAAAAATGAGTAGCGTTAATATAAATAATTCCTTATATCCTGGAGAGCAGGTTATCTTGGGTAATAAGAGTTCCCTGTGAATTTTAAGCAAGCAACTTGAGTTTTAGCTTAAAATATTCATATTTTGGCTCTTTAGGTAATTGAGCTTTTGTCAAGAAGTATAAAACATTTGAGATCATTAGCTTAGTCTGGGGGAAAAAAAATATATATATATATACACACACATATATATAATGCAAAGACAATATAAATAAACATTTAACATGACAGAAAAAAATCACATTATTTTAAAAATACATCACTGATTTCTGCCTACCCCCAGAGAAAAAATAGTAGGGTCTTTTACGAATCATACATTTTGTTCATCTACATTACTATAGTATACTGTTAATGTGATTATCTAAAAAAATTATATTATTTGTCTAATAACAACCCACCTCATATCACCATAGTACTAACAATCTTCTCATAAATATAAGCATAGTAGTGGGTACTGTTATTAACATGAGCTGACTAATACAATTTCACGTTTCAAACGCAATTGTGGGTGCTCCTTAGACACCCTGATGTGCCTAAGTTATATTTACTTTTAAACATAAACATAAAGAAAATAAACGTAGGTTATTTGTAAGACTGTAAAAATTTAGTATGAATTAATACACAGTTATTGATTGTATTTTTGTAATATTTTTCATAGCCTATTGAGTCCTCTTTAAGGACTCTCGAGTTACAAGAGTTCCTGGTGAGACTCATTTATCCAGTAACAACAAAACGTTCTCTTCTTTTTCACTGTCAGTCTTTAGTGCTACTCAGGCAGCCTTGATTTCTTCATTATTCCCAGTTTCTAAAATACAATTTCCATAATGACACTGTCAGTCTATTACCATACACGAGCTGTCTGGACACTTCTATACTTTCTGCTTGTGAACTAGATCCCATCCTTTCTTTACTATTCAATGGTGTCTCTCCAGCAAAGCCCACCACTTTTTCCTTGTCTGCTGTGTCTTCCCCATGAGCCTAAATAAACATGCTGTTCAATTCTCTTGACCCCATTTTATATGACAGCTTTCCACCTCATTTCTCAGTTTTCCTTGATAAAGTCTTAGAAAGATGTTGTCAAAAGTTATTCTCTCCTCCAAAATTTACTTAAATTCTCTCCATTCAGGCTTTTTCCCCTGTAATCAGGACCCACAAGGGCCTTATATTGTTACATCTAAAAGTCAATTCTTAGCCCTCATCCTGATTTATACAGTAGTCCACCCTTATCTGCAGTTTTGCCTTCCACAGTCAATCTCAGTCTGAAAATATAAAATGGAAAATTCCAGAAATACATTCACAAGTTTTAAATTGCACTCCATTCTGAGTAGTGTGATGAAATCTCACGCTGTCCTTATCTGTCCTGCCCAGGATGTGGAATCATCCTTTTGTCCAGTGTATTCAGGCGGTCTGTGACCCCACTGCCTGTTAGCCAACTTGATTATCAGATAGAAAAGCAGCGTACATAGTGTTCAGGATAATCCAGAGCTTCAGCCATCTACTAGGGGGTCTTGGAAAATATCTCTTGTAAATAAATGGGGATTACTAAAAGCAATATTTGCAGGTAACCACATTTTCCATTTCCTGAAAACATTTTATTCACTTGGCTTTCAAGATGGCAAATTCCCTAGGTTTTCCTCAGCTTCCTTGATTGTTCCTTCTCATCTTTGCTTCTTTTTCTTTCTGGCTCTGACGTCTAGACCTTAGATCTTTTATCTTCACTACTGTAGAAAACTCATCTAGTCTCCAGCTTTAAATGCCGTTGATATGATCGTGTCTCCCAAATTTATATCTCTAGTTTAAACCTCTTCCTTGAACTCCAGACTCAGATCTAACTCTCTATTAGACATCTTCCCCTGGATGTTTAATTGGGATCTTAAATTTTTCATACCCACCTGCAAGCTTCTGAGACTTTCCTCCAAACACAGTCTTAGAGTATGTCCGGGGTTAGAAATGACAACACCATTCTTCAGTTGCTACAGGTAAAAACTTTGTACTCATCTTTAACTCCACCCTTTTCCTTATACTCCACATCCAGTCCACAAAGCATAGCTGAATGTGGCTAGAGATGGAAAAACAAAAACAAACAAACAAGCAAAAACCCAGTGACACCTGTTCTCACTTTACATTGGGGATTGCTGCCCTAAAGTGTGTTCTCGGTGCTACCCAGCAAGCACATGCAATTTCCCCAGTCCATTCCTTCCCCCGCCCTCCTCAATGAATAACACATTTTTCTTCCGTCTTCTTTGACATCTGTCTTCCACTTCCCTATTCCTAGCCTCAACTGATGATCTGACATACTATTTCACTGAAAAAATAGAAACAACCAGAAAAGAACTTTTAGAAGTTCCAGCACCACTTCTACCCACTTGTAAAGTCAGTCTTTTCTCCTGTACCCGAAGTAAACTGTCCGTGTTTCTTTTATGTAGAACCCCTCTCTATTTGCCTGTTCAACAGCATTACTCCTGAAAGTTCTTCTGTCTACCAGTCTTTTCTATAAGAAAGAAAAAAAAGTTTTTACCTCTCACATCTTAAAAATATCTTCTCTTGATCTAATTTCTCCTTCCTGCTAACATACCATTTTTCTCTCATTTCCTTTACATTTTCCTCCTTTCTTTTATATTACTCAAAAGAATTCACTGTATTCACTTTCTTTAAACTTTCTCTTCTGAATCTCTTTTTAACTCAGTCCAGTGAGGCTCTGGCTGTCACCATTCAACAGAAACTGTTCTTATCCAAGCTACCAGTGACCTAGATCCAGTGACCTATTCTCAATCTTCATTTGACACAGATGGTATCACCCTCCTCCTTCAAATACTTAAACTTGACTTGGCTCTCATGGCATGGGGCACCACTCTTTGTTTTTTTTTTTTTTTTCTCCTATTTTTATGCCTTCTTTTTGTCACTTAGATAATTTTCTAATTTATATCTCCAGCCTAACCTCCTCATGTGAACTCTGGATTCATACATACAGCTCTTGACCTGACATGATCACTTGAATACCTAATAGGAACAGCAAGTGCAACATGTCCAAAATTGAGATTCTGTTTCCCTCAACCACCTCCAAACCTGCCTCCCCACAGTCTTCCCCACTTCATAAATGGTACCTCCATGGTTCCAAATGCTTAGGTTAAAGACTTTGAAATCATTAACTTCTGTTTTTCTCATACTACACCTTTGATATCAATTAATCCTGTCATGTCTGCTTTCAAAGTATCTCCACAATGGCTAATTTTTTTCTTCATTGCTACCACCCTGAATTAGTCTGTTTTCACACTGCTCTAAAGAACGGCCTGAGGCTGGGTAATTTATAAAGGAAAGAAGTTTAATTGACTCACGGCTCTGCATGGCTTGGGAGGCCTCAGGAAACTCACAATCATGGCAGAAGGTGAAGGGGAAGCAAGGCACGTCTTATATGGTGGCAGGAGAGAGAGAGAATGAAAGGAGAAGCACAACTTTTAAACCATCAGCTCTCATGAGAATTCACTCACTATAACGAGAACAGCATGGGGGAAATCACCCCCATGATCCAATCTTGTCCCCCCAGGTCCCTCCCTCAACACGTGAGAATTACAATTCAAGATGAGATTTTGGTGGGAACACAGAGCCAAACCATATCACACCTTGACCTCGAATTCTCATTTCTTGTCTGGATTTTTGCAGTATTCTTCCCCTTCCTTTTTTGTCCTCCACTCTCTTCAGTAAAGTCAGATGTTGTCACATCTCTGCTTAAAACATCCCAGTTGGTTCCCATCTCATTCAAAATCATAGCCAAAAAAATTGAAGTGACTGTCTAATATAATATCTTCTTATTCTACCCTCACTCATTGTCCTTGTGACACCCTGGTCTCTGAATACATCTGAAACATGAGAAGCATGCTATGGCCTCAAGGCTTTGTCCCTGTGATTCCCTCAGTGGTGGGTGTCCTTTACCGGCATAGCTCCACAACTTGCTTCCTCACCTACCTCCTTCAGCCATTTACCCAGTTGCCAACTTTTCTATAAAGTCTTCCTTGATCATTGATAAAATTACAGCCCTTTGCTCTAACATTTTCAATATTCTTCCTTATTTTATTTTTTATTAGCCCTTTTACCATTACTTATTTATCTTGTGTTTTTATTGTTATCTCCACTAATGTCCACACCCCCCTGGCTTTCATATGTAAAATCCATGAGGACAGAGGTTTTCTTTCTTTTCCCTGCTGTGCTCTTAGACTTTATACTTGTGCAGACATATAGCATGTATTTGCTAAGTTTTTGTCGAATGAATGAATAATGAATGAATGAGCACATAGTGGTTTTTACTCTCATGATTGCTTACTTGCTTATGAATTTCCCACACTAGAGTCTAAGCTTTCTTTTTTTCTTTTTTTGAGACGGAGTCTCTGTCGCCCAGGCTGTAGTGCAGTGGCATGATCTCGGCTCACTGCAAAGTGGTAGTATACATAGATATTTAATATAGCGTCAAGTATTGTGAAGGATCTAAAATTTTACCTGACTGATAAGGAAACAAGTTAGCCTGCCATTGTTTCATGGATGCTGACACAAGAGGTGAGATTCCTGTGTCACAGACAGATGACTTTATTACTAATGGTATAGCAAATGTTGTGAGCAACATATTTGCATTGGTTCTTCTTGCTCTCCATGTCCCCTGAGAAAGGGACCAACAGAGAGGTGCCCAGGTAGATAGATGTACACATGAAGCAGGCTTGTATCACCGCTAAAGAGGCCTAAACTTATGGAACTAAAATCTTTTATGATGGGCTGCAAATAAACTTGTCTGACCTTTTCTTTAGAAGGAGACATTATCTTTATTCTACAGGATAATAACTTGCCTTCTGTTGTAGAGGGAGTCACTATCTGTCTTTCATAGCTCTACTATTTAAATATCCTTGAAAGGATAGCCTGGAACAAAGGGGCAGTTAACGGCCCTGCTCATAACCTGTGCAGAAGCATAAGAGACCCATGAGGAATTGTCTACCAATAATAACTCTACATTGTCTAGATCTCAGGAGACCCTTTAAGCCATGGGTAGAATAGTGTAATTAATTATTCTTATTCCAAAGACAATAATGATTTCATTATTTATGTATTGGCATTTTTAAAAGAGTTAATTATTTCTATTCATTTATATAGACAGCTTTAAAATAATTTTATGGTACTTTTGCAAACATTCCCTTACTATTGTATATTTTATTTTAAATAATTAATGACTATTAACTATTGATGAAGTCTAGAGTTTAATTGCTTCAACCTTATGATAACTTCAAACACATAACCATTAGAATGCATGGAAAAGCCTGAAACTCAAAAGAATTACAACGTTACAGAACCTGTTCCAAAATAGAGAATAGAGTATTCATGCATTTGGAGTTTATAGCAAATGCTTAATCAAATAAAGGACAACCTCTATGAACCTAAGCCAACATACTAGAATACTCAATTAACTTTTGTCCTCCTTCATGCAACTTTCAGCAGGGGCACAAAATCTAGAGGAAAAAAAAATCTTTAAAGGAACAAGAAGAGTCAATGTGGTGGACTTAACAGCGATTATTATTGTATGGTGTAACACCTATTTCCGGAATGTGTCCCGTGGTCATACATGTTTTGATTTTGTATCATCTTCCATTAAAAACACATAGCATAATGCTTGGTATAGAATAGCTGTTTAAAAATTGTTACAATTATTAATGATTTAACTTAATAGAAGCTGTATAATTTTTAAGAGGATAGCCTTTGCCATCAGGTTTGGGTTAGAATCATGACAATAATAATGAGCACTGAAAAATTACATGTCACTCCTCTTTCAACCTCATATTTCTCATATCTAAAATAAGGACACGGGCCAGGTGCAGTGGCTCACGCCTGTAATCTCAGTACTTTGAGAGGCCCAGGCGGGTGGATCACTTGAGGTCAGGAGTTCAAAACCAGCCTGGCCAACATGGCAAAACCCCATCTCTACTAAAAATACAAACAGTAGCTGGGTATGGTGGCAGGCACCTGTAATCCCAGCTACTCAGTAAGCTGAGGCATGAGAATTGCTTGAACCCGGGAGGTGGAGGTTGCAGTGAGCTGAGATCGCACCACTGCACTCCATTCTGGGGTATAGAGCAAGACTCTGTCTCCAAATAAATAAATAAATAAAATAAAATAAAATAAAATAAAATAGGGACATGGCCAAGCACTGTGGCTTACCACTTGTAATCCCTGAACTTTGGGAGGCCAAGGCAGGAGGACCCTTGAGGCCTCAGACCAGCGTGGGCAACATGAGGAGACCCCATCTCAACAAAATTTTTTAAAAAAATTATCCAGTTGTGGTGGCATGCACCTGTGTTCCCAGCTACTCAGGAGGCTGAGTCGGAGAACGGCCTGAGCCTGGGAGGTTGAGGCTGCCATGAGCTGAGGTCATGTCACTGCACTCCAGCCTGGGTGACTGAGTGAGACTGTCTCAAAAAAGAATAATAAAATAAAACAGGGACAATAATATTTTCTTTGATATTTCATGAGGAATAAATAAGATGATGTATGTATTAACAGATGTTTTTCACTCTACATTTATGTTCTTTCTGGTTCATGTCTTTCTGTAAGTCACAATGGCAGCTCTAGGTTTTAACTTTTTAAAATTACTACTCACATGCTCAGCCTTTGTTATGTTTTTGTTTTATTTTGTTTTTCTCACTCAACATGTGCATCTTGCCTCTGTGGCTAATACCAGAAGGAGTTCAACTGTTCAAAGTTCAACCACATGATGCGTTAGGAGGTATTTCCTCCTATGAATGTTTAAATCCTTATGTGAGGCCCAAATTACCAGCTCAGACTTCAGACTTCTTTTTTGTACACTTCATGTTTATTCCTTACCAACAAACCTCGGTAGAATCATACTGAACCATCAGAGAAGTTCTAAGACAGTGAATCTGAAATAAGAAAGAATCTGATTCTGGGCTTTTTTTTTCTCCCTCCCTGCTTGAGGTTTTTTTTTTTTTTTTTTTTTTTTTTGGCTTCTACATAAATTCGTCTTCTTTTATCTCAATGAAGAGCTCAAAAAAATGACAGGGATGGACCTGTGAGCCAACCCAGCAAGTATCCCCTGACGCCTTTTCTCCAGGGGCAACTGCTGTGATGATATTTACATAATTAATAGAAGCCATTTAGGTAATTTTTCTCACAGCAACTAAAAGCTGCTGTAGAATCATTAGCTTTTTAATCTATAGCCATAGTACAGACAGGCATAATTTTTATTAAATAGAAATTTTGTGTCAATGGGCATCCTGTTATGCCTGTAACAGCCCCTAGCACAAAGCTTGCTATACACTAAACCCAGAGTAAATGCTAATTGCAATTATTATTGCAAAAATGAGGATTCCGTTGATGATAACTGAGAAAGTCAATAATGCTTCAGAAACAGTGAAAAATCCTAGGATCTCAATTTTTAAAACATATCCAGGCTATTTCTCCTTTTCTAACTTAGAAATTTTATATATGTATACATGTGTGTTGACATATACACATATATATTTATATATTCAATTAATGGCTAACTAGAAGACTAATTTAATTGATTATTACATTTATGATCAATCAAGGGGAGTTTTTAAATCTATAGGAATAAAGAATACTAGAAAAGCACATCTGAATTTTAACAGCATAATTATCTGTTGAAAATCATTATCTTTGAAGAGTCTTATCTAAGAGGACTACAAAGTCACTGCAATGATTTCTTAAATTTTACTACCATTCGAATATTCACTTATTTCTATAGCAATATCTCCCTGGATAGCAGATAATAAGGTTCCCCTTCCAGGTAGCTATGGGAGATAGATATTATACATTAATAATAACCTGCTTTCTCCCCGTATTTACATAACAATAACTCCTAGATCCAGTTCCCTGAATTGTCTGAAATAAGAATCAAAAGCATTTGCTTCCCAGGTATTGAAATGACATCTAGACACTTTGAAAACCCTGGACTCTATGTATATTTATGTGTTGTTTGCATATTATGTACTTATGGAGATAGCTTTTAATCCTGTGAAGACAAATATCCTTTGCATTTTATTTCTAACTTGTATTATTTACTGTTATTATCTTTAATTTTTGAGCAGTATATAATTTTGCTTTACCGAAGATTTCTAAACTTTACTTGATAAATCTTTTTTTTGAGACAGAGTCTCACTCTGTCACCCAGGCTGGAGTGCAGTGGCAGGATCTCAGCTCACTGCAACCTCAGCCTCCCAGATTCAAGCGATTCTCCTGCCTCAGCCTCCCGAGTAGCTGGGACTGCAGATGCATGCCACCCTGCCCAGCTAATTTTTGTATTTTTAGTAGAGACGGGGTTTCACCATATTGGCCAGGATGGTCTCGATCTCTTGACCTTGTGATCAGACTGCCTAGGCCTCCCAAAGTATTGGAATTACAGGTGTGAGCCACGGCGCCCGACTGAGAAAACTTTACTCTAAATATAGTAAAGCTTCTTTCATTTCGCTTGTTTCTAATTGTCTTTATATACTGAAGTATAGCTATCTCTTGCATATTAAGTGTAGATGTGACATTTTTAAAGTATTTATTTTTAGATATATAGATGTATTTATACATTCCCTCTGATTCTGATAAGATTCAGAACTACTCTGCTGGCCAAATTTGGGCCAGGAAATTTGATAGAAAGCAAATATGGTTTTGAAATTAGATATTTCATAGAAAGTATAAAAAACTTATAAGTTGTTTGTAATATTATTACCTCACATTCTTCTCCCTGTAGAAGAGGCATTTTCAGGATTCAAAATGATATTTTTATCATTGGGTTAAAATGCTCTTACAATTAGGTTAAATTCCCTATAATTTTATTATTACATTAAAATGCCCTTATAATTTTAAATTTTGTAATCTCATTTAGTGATTTAGTTTACACTTTTTTCCCTAAACTCATTGTTTACTTCCTAATTTATTTTACAAGGGTGTGTCTATGCGTTTTATTGCTATATTCCTTGATAAAAATAGCCAATGGCTAAGAATTTCAGTGTAATCATCATCAGTGAAAATGAACTTCATTTTGCGTTGGTCTGTGTAGTAACAGCTGAATGTTCACACCAAGCAAATTCAGATTATACCTTTTTGCTTTACTTTTTTTTTCAATCTAATGACAGTTAACACTTATTGTCAACAGTTGCGGAAAGAATCTTAGCCTAGGAGTCACAATATTTGGATTACGTTCCCACCCTACAACTTCCTAAATATTTGACCTTGGTTACATTAATAACTTCTCTCAACCTCTCTGTCTTCTTTTGTAAAATAACAACAACAATAATACCTTCCTATATGGCTGTTTGTGAAAGTTAGATATATATATTCCACACAGGGTCTATTACATAAAGTGTTCTATAACTATCAGCTGTATTATTACATTACTAACATTATGATTTCCCTTTCTTTTTCTTTCTCTTCTTCCTTTTTTCCTCTTCATCTTCCAAAATATCTCTGTGGAATTTAACTGATTTATCTGCGTATTTATCTGAAAAATAGTTCAAATTATTTTCTGCACCAATTAGGCAATGCATATAACACTTTGTGAAATATTAAGCTCTATGAAAATCTGGGGTACACATTGTATTAAATATAGTGTATCTGGGATTCTTCACATATTAAATTGTTTAGAAGTAGTAGCTTTTCATGATTTAACATAAAATACCCTGCAGGAACAATGATGCCTCCCAGCTGATGTAACAGTAGCAGGGAAACTAACATGAGTATCAGAATGAATTAGGCATACCTTGGCAATTCTATAAGCAATCAGGCTGAATGATGCTGTTTCTCAGAATATTCGGAAAAAAATTGTATTTCTTAAATTGAGAATTCTGCCTTCTCGATCTCCAGTATGGAAAGCATAGCTCCATTTTTGCAAATGAGAAAGGATCTTTTTTATTTTCTGAAATGTGTCCCTCATTGCCCTTCATGTGCATACAGAAGCATAATAAGGTGAATTCTATTTGAGCTCTGCCTTTTCAAAGTGTGGGAGCAGTTTGGAGAGCCAACATAAGAGCCACATTTTTGTTCTTCAGTTTCCAAGTGTGACTTTGAAGCAAACAGCTGTGATTGGTTTGAAGCAATTAGTGGTGACCATTTTGACTGGATACGGAGCTCTCAGAGTGAACTTTCTGCTGATTTTGAGCACCAGGCTCCACCTCGGGATCATAGTCTCAACGCATCTCAAGGTAAGAAGCAAACAGGGACTCTACAACCACTGCTATTTACTGTTTAGTTAGACTTCAGAAGAGAAAGGAAAGCTAGTACGGTTCTGTGATAACTACAACAAACAGTCAGATAGTTGAATATTGTCAATTACAGTTATGCTGTCTGCATGGACTGATTCCTTTATGGGTGGTACAGATAGCATATAGATATATTTTTGGCTGAACTAGCTGAAATTACCAATGGTCTTTGGTATCATTTAGCATGAGATGTAGATAGTGGTTCAATATTTATCAGAACAAATTTGACTAAGAGTCACTGATTGATTATTGTATAATTTTAATTTCAGTTAGACAATGATCTTGCTCAGTGTAGGGTTAAGAGACAGATGTCTCATTTTAGAATCCAATAGGTTAATGAAGCGTTTTTTTTTTTTTTTTATCTCAACAGGGCATTTTATGTTCATTCTGAAGAAAAGCAGCAGCTTGTGGCAAGTTGCTAAGCTTCAGAGCCCAACTTTCAGCCAGACAGGACCTGGATGCATACTTTCCTTCTGGTAAATATTAAACAAATATTTAAACAATATTAAACAGTTCACCCTGGTGGTGAAGTGTTTGCAGGCATACCTCTGCACTTATTCATTTCTGTGGTTTACTGCTGGTTTTACTCTAAAAATAGTATTGCATTAAATTCATATGATTTTAATTTTACCTAGGAGCGTGTTCTCAGTATATGTTGTTTTCTTTCTTAAGATGAAAGGGGCTCTTTCCCCCCAACCATGGATTATAATTTAATTAAGATTTCTTCCTCTTGTTATGTACTGAGCTCCTTGAGACAAGTTCCCAGTGTTGTGAGAACCACAGAGTGTGTGCCTCAGTAGATAAGCTCTTGCAAATGGACAGCCACAGTTATTGCGGGAAAGAAAAGCGTCTTATGATAACTCATTAAAATTGACTGTTGACTGAGTAGAAAAATCTAAAGGTTAAATATGTAGTCTATTCTATAAATCACTTCCATTTCTTACGTTTACTCTTTTTTAGGTTCTATAACTATGGCCTGTCAGTGGGAGCAGCTGAGCTGCAGCTACATATGGAAAATTCTCATGACTCAACAGTGATTTGGAGAGTATTATACAATCAGGGCAAACAATGGTTGGAGGCAACCATTCAGCTAGGGCGCCTTTCGCAGCCCTTCCATTTGTCACTAGATAAAGTCAGTCTGGGCATTTATGATGGGGTCTCAGCTATTGATGACATCCGATTTGAAAATTGTACTCTCCCTCTTCCTGCTGAGAGCTGTGAAGGGCTGGATCATTTCTGGTGTCGCCACACCAGGGCTTGCATAGAAAAGCTTCGGTTATGTGATCTGGTGGATGACTGTGGTGATCGTACTGATGAAGTCAACTGTGGTAAGTTCTTTTTGGTTGGGGGATTCTCTTTCTCATTTTGAAAGTGTTGACCTTGATGAATTCACTTTTGTCTTGCCAATCAAACCGATAACAGTAAGCATAGCTCCAAAGCTGATGAATGTTATGTGTGGTTAATTAGTCAAGCCATCAGTATTTTTAAGAGGATTTATTAGATACTAGATACTAGATACCAAATACTAGAGATACAATGATAAATACAACTACAGAGTCCCTGCCCTTGCGGAGCTTACAATCTTACTGAAAGACAAATATCTAAATATTTAATAAAGAAAAATGAAATGGTAGCTTTGATAGGAGCGATGAAGAAGAGTGCTGTGACCTTATATAATAGTGGCATTGGACTTTCTAGACATTGGGACTTAGATCAGATCTAAAAAAATCACAAGTCAAACCATGTATCTAAAAACCCTGAGATGTGGCTGCAAGGCAGATGGAAAATAGCCAGTGTGGCTGGAGCAAGGAATGAAGGGGAAAGAGGGCCCAAAATATAATAAGGATGAAGGTGTGGGGAAGGCCAGATTCGCAGGCCTTTGTAGTACATAGTAGTACAATTTGAACCTAGCTCCAGAATTGCCCTCTGCACTTAGTGGTACAGTGCGGAAAATAAGTTAGAAGTTAATAGGATTTTTTTTTTTTTTGAGTTACAAAACCCTGTCAAGAAAAGAAAAAGTTTGCATCTTTCCTTGGACTCAGATTCCTCATCCAGAAATAGCAATGATTTTTAAAATTGAAGATAGTTGAATATTATATTTATTTTATAAATTATTTATATTTTATATATGAAAATTATTTTATAAATTATGCAATTTATTAAATTTATTTAATAAGTAAATTATTTCTTTTATGTATTAAATTTATGTTCATGAAATACAGATGCTAATTACAGACCAAAGTAGAAATGTAAAATGCTTACTACATCATAGAAAACATTAAGAAATTTCCATATACATCATCGTAGAGAGTTTTGCCTATGTGTAATCTTTGGTACACATATTATCAAAGGCATATCAAAGTCAGGCCTATTAAACTCAGAATTACCATGCATCTCATGAAATTTACACACCAATATTTGAGTGGGTATAATTAAAATGGTGATTTTGACAATGACTATCCTATGAAGTGTAACTTTTCCTAAGGCCAATTCATTTTTGCAAATTTCGAAAGCCTTTTCATCTTTTCAAGCTCTCTGAATCCCACTCATTAAAAAATGTCAATGTGCTGCTAAAAATAAGCAAATTGCCCCTCAGACTTCCCTGTGTTCACTTAGTAGGATGTGATAATGCGAGTACAACTATAGTATCAAAATACTTCTTGCGATTATGGATTAGTGAAAGAATGTCGGTTTCTCACACGGCTTTCCATCAAGGCATATTACTTCATGACACAGTGTACATTACAGATCCACAAATCCATGTTGGATTTCCTGAAATATATTGAGAGATGCGGTCTTTTATGGAAAGGTGGAGCTAGGCGTATTCCCTTTGGAAATGAAGTTTGAGTGTGCAGTCAGCACCAAGACAGACAATAGAAAAACGTGTTTGCTTTAGCGTCAGTTTTATGTCAGAAACGCAGCAACTTGCCATTCACCTTCTGCCCTACAGCCAAAGACTGACATCTGGAGGGTACCCTGTGTCCCCCCAAGTTCACATCACAGCTGGTCTTGATTAGTCACAAGTGAGGAAATATCAAAAGAAAGCTCATCTCCCACTTGACATTTACTCACTTGGTTCCCTTCATTAGGTCTAAGCTCCTCTTCTGTGATTTTCCAAGACAGATGATTTATTCTCGCCTGGCTGCATTTATTCACATACCCTTTTATTTATTGTTTCAGAGTATTTGTTCACTTTTGGCATCAAGTGTCATTACTAACATGAATAAAGGACAGTTGACATTTATTTAAAAAAAACTAACATGTAAATGAAGCTAAAATGTAGAACTACTTGTTAATTCTAAAATCTGTCCCCTTCCTCCAAAGACTGTCAAATGCCCATTTTATACCATTTATTCTACAGTGAATATCATTTGAAAAATTGACACGTTCCTATATTACCCTAGAAATTTAGATAGAGTTTTCAATTATTGACTATGGTAGGCTTCCCCCTTACCTGGGGGCTTCAGAGATCACCAGTGGATTCCTGAAACTGAGAATAGTACCTAGTCCTATATATACTATGTTTTTTCCTATACATACATACCTATGATAAAGATTTTTGTTTGTTTGTTTGATTTTTTTAGAAAGAGTCTCCCTCTGTTGCTTAGGCTGGAGTACAGTGGCAGGATCTCTGCTCACTGCAACCTCTGCCTCCCGGGTTCAAGCGATTCTCCTGCCTCAGCCTCCTGAGTAGCTGAGATTGCAGGCGCCCGCCACCACTCCCGGATAATTTGTTTGTATTTTTAGTAGAGATGGGTTTCAGCATGTTGGTTGGGCTGGTCTTGAACTCCTGACCTCGAGTGATCTGCCCGCCTTGGCCTCCCAAAGTGCTAGGATTACAGGAGTGAGCCACTGCGCCCAGCCTGATAATGTTTAATTTATAAATTAGGCATTGTAAGAGATTAACAACTACTAACAAAATAGAACAATTATAACAATATGCCTGCACCGTAACTCTTGCACTTTGGTGCCATTATTAAGTAAAATAAGGGTGACACTTAAACACAGGCACTGTGATCCTGTTACAATCGATCTGATAACTGAGATAGCTACTATTTGTGATGGTACAAGATTTCATCAGGCTGCTCAGAATGAACTGCAACTCAAAATGTATGAATTGCTTATTTCAGGAATTCTCCATTTCACATTTTTTTTTTTTTTTACCACAGTTGGTTGTGGGTTAGTGTAACTGCTAAAAGCAAAACATCAGATAAGGCGAGACTGCTGTAAGACTCTTCCTAAGTCTGAATTGGTCTAGGGACTGAAGCAAGTTGGAAGTTGCAGCTCAAAGGAGCTACAATCCAGTGAGAAGAAAAGACCCATACTGATGAATCACAGCAAAAAAAGTGGCAAGGCACATACCTAACATTAGGGTAAACAGAGGTGGAGGAAGTGGTGGGGTGTTTAGAATATGTGGGGAAGATGGTGCAGGCTATGGGGAAGAATAGTAGGGATGAGGCAGTCATTTTAATTTGGGAGAAGTGGAGTTTGAAAGAGGAGTTTTTATTTAGGTATAGATTCTATGAGCATACATGAAAGAATCTGGATTCGAGAAGGAAGTGGTAATACTGCCATTGAAGGATTGTTACCTTGGCACTGATGCGTAGGGACTCTAGGATCTGGGACGGGATGGAACCAAAGACAAGAGATTTTGGGAATGAGGTCAGGAAAACATCTACATCAGGGTGCTTGTTAAAAATGTGGATTTCTGGGCTTCACCCTATATCTAATAAGCTAGTATCTGTTTCAGTGTTTTGCTATGAAGTCAGCAATTTTACCGTGAGCCCCAGGTGATTCTTAACACATGATTGTTCCCAGCCCTGCCTGTTAGAATCACCAAGGGAGCTTCGAAAAAATCCTGATGCGTGGCTTTACCACTAGGAGCAATTAAATCAACACCTCTGGAGATGAATTCTGGGCTTCAGTGTTTGTTTGTTTTTTAATGTTCCCTGGTGATTGGAACATTCAGTTGAGGTTGAAATCTACTGAGCCAGAAGTTTCTCACAGTGAGCCAGGCATGGGGTCTTGATCATGTGCCTGGAGTTATGGTCATAGAAATGGAGAAGAGATGTGCATAAAAAATATTTGGAAAAAAGTGTCCAAAGCAATTCCATCTTTAGTTCATAAAATATTATTAATTGATATATCATTTAGAAACAAAAACTCTTTTTTTAAAAAAAACACTTCAGTGTTGGATTTTAAAAATAAAATGGCTTACCTTGGCATGAGCAAAGTATCAACTAGCATTCTTTAAATATTAATAAATAGAATGTGGTTGCATGTATTTTTGTCCCTAATTATCTTTTGCTTTTATTTCATGTGAATTTCAGCACCTGAGCTGCAGTGTAACTTTGAAACTGGAATCTGTAACTGGGAACAAGATGCAAAAGATGACTTTGATTGGACCAGGAGCCAGGGTCCAACTCCAACACTTAACACAGGGCCAATGAAAGATAACACTCTGGGCACAGCTAAAGGACACTATCTCTACATAGAATCTTCAGAGCCACAGGCTTTTCAAGACAGTGCTGCCTTACTCAGCCCAATCCTTAATGCCACTGATACAAAAGGCTGCACCTTCCGCTTCTATTACCACATGTTTGGAAAGCGCATTTATAGGTTGGCAATCTACCAACGAATCTGGAGTGACTCAAGGGGACAGCTGCTGTGGCAGATATTTGGGAATCAAGGCAACAGATGGATTAGGAAACACCTCAACATTTCCAGCAGGCAGCCCTTTCAGGTATGGATAATAGATTTTATAATGTACATTTGAAATGCATCTGAATGTCTAAGGAATATGAAAGATCGCTGTATTCTCTAATTAAAAGCAAGTGGAATTTGATCAAAGTTACATTGAGACACATTTATCATTTATTTGAGGGTGTATCAAAGCTCTTTACATTGTTTCCTCCTTGACTACCCCCAATGATGTAAGATTAGAATTTCTGAAGATGAACATGTGGCCATTGGAAACAGCTGCAGGTCCTTCCAATTTCAAGTAATTGCTTTACTGAAATGAACAACCTGGAAGTGGAGGGAAGAGTTTTGCACAATCTCTGATATTTTGCAAAGAGCACAGACACTGAAATCTGTGATTTTGCTTATTTCATTTTATTTTTATTATTTTATAGGTAAGTAACAGAAATCCAGGCTTTATTCAACAATCAGTTCCTCTGAGGAAGAGCTAGAGTTTGAATATAGTTCTCCTTACTCCTGGGGGAATATTCTTTACTTCAGATTTCACCTGCTGTTTTCTAAAAGTCAGTCTTATTCTAGCAAGCTCAAATGCGTATGTGGCTGTTAACAGTTTTGTAAAGGAATTTTATATATTATCTATCTGATTCTCTCAGCAATTTCCTGATTTTGGTAAGCCAGAAGTCCTTTCAGCCAATTTTGTAGATTCAAAGAAAAAAGCTTGGAGTGCTGACTGTTTATCCCTGGCCAAACAGCTTATGGGCAGCAGAACTGGGATTTGGACCAGAACTCACAGTTTGTGATTAATGAACATTTATTTACTTTCCAGCATATCATAGAGCCTATAACATGCAGGGGGCTTGAATATTTGTTCTTTCATCCTGTAGTCAAATTAATCTACACATAATATACTGGAAAAAAACTTCTTACCTGTCCCTGGCTAAACTTTTTTTGCATGTACTCAACTTCTTTAGTTACCCAAATTTAAAGCACTATATCTATCTAAATGTCTAAATCTAGTTAACAGTTTTGTAACCAAAAACTTAGCTCCAGGCCACCTTTTGAAATCTTCTAAGTCATAGATGTAGATTGTACAGTGAAGAACACATTGGAATGGGAGATTTGTCCAGATAGATATAAACCGAAAGCATGAGAACGAATCCCCCATCTATAGTGTGGCATCGTTCAGCTCTCCCACAGCGTAAGGTACATGTAAGGATGAGAATGAATCCCCCATTTATAGTGTGGCATCGTTTGGCTCCGCCACAGTGTAAAGTATGTGTAAGCGTGAGAATGAATCCCCCATCAGTGTGGCATCGTTCTGGTCTCCCACAAACATAAGATACATGTAATCATATGGAATGAAATGGAAAGGAAGTCCTTTGACTTTTATGTAATAATGGCTTATCCACTTCAAATTAATTCTTAACGTCTCATTGGGTCAATTATGATTTGCCTCAAGCTAGTATGTAGTGGATAAGCCCTTCTTATGATATTTACTCAAGGATTGGTTTCCAGGAGAAAATCAACTTTGCAGGGAAGCAGCTTCATAGCCAGATCGACGTGGGACTAACCAAGGAACACTTTCGTCATGAACCTCAAACATGAAACTTGAGGTTTGAGACCCATGTTGGGTTACAAATGCAGTGTTCTGATTGATTTTTATCTAAGGCTCCTTTTAGTCTAAAAAAATAATAATAATAAGATTCAGGCCCGAAAAGATGAAATCAGAGATCCTCCATGCTGTGTGGATTTGTCATTCTAGTGAGTAAAAAATGGGGCCTGAAAGGGGGCTCACACCTGTAATCCCAAGACTGGGAGGCCGAGGCGGGAGGATTACTTGAGGTCAGGAGATCAAGACCAGCCTGGGCAACAAGGCAAAACCTCATCTCTACTAAAAATAGAAAACAATTAGCCAGGCACGCACCTGTAATCCCAGCTACTTGGGAGGGTGAGGCAGGATAATCGCTTGAACCCAGGAGGCTGAAGTTGCAGTGAGCCGAGATGCGCTACTGTACTCCAGCCTGGGCAACAAAGCATGACTCCTCACAAAAAAAAAAAAAAAAAAAAAAAAAAAAAAAAAAGGTTGGGCAGGGTGAGATGCTGATTTAAGGAACAGGATATTTTTTTCTCCATTAAATGATGGATGGACATAGTTTCTGTTCTACTGAGAAACAGCAGCAATAACAACCAGCATTTTAATTAACTGTGATATGGTAGATGGAATTACCAGCAGATAGGAGGTACTCATTCTGTGTTTGCATAAAGAAAAATGCAGGGATTTTTCACGATCACTCATGTAAAATGAAAGAAATAGGATAGGAACAAATTGTACATGTAAGTATACAGGAACCAGTTTACTTGTTAATGTCAGTTGAAATAATCAGCCAATGCTTTCATGTGTGCCTTGGTCAGTAAAGGCTCAGGAAATCATTACACATGAAACTTCAGTTCAATCTTTTGATTTTTATTACAAGCTTTATTTTGTATAACATATAATAAACTAAAAATATTGAAAGTTTAGAAACCATCAGCACACAACCGAGGTGATGGAAATATACTTCACCTCCAGTTTCCTGATGCCTCTTTATAATACATTTCTTTGGCCCCTCATTCCTGGCCCTTAACAACCACCGAACTGCTTTCTGTCACTGGACGGTAATTTATACAGTCAAAAAATGTATATAAATAAAATTTTACACTATGCACTTTTTTGTCTGACATTTTATGTTTTTTTCTCTGCATGTTTTACCTCTAGAGTCTGCCTTGTTTCATTTAGTATAATTATTTTGAGATTCATTCATGTTATAGTATGTATCCATAATTAATTCGGATAAAGCAAGTTAATTCATTAATGTATTGATTGATATTTAGACTGTTTCTAGTTTGGGCTATTATGAATACATGTGCTATGAACATTTGTGTTGATATCATTATATGAACACCTACTTTTATCTCTCTTGGGTAAATACCCAGGAGTGCAATGGCTGAGTCTTACGGCAGAAGTATGTTTAACTTTTTAAGGGACTCTTAAACTGTTTTTCAAAGTTTACACTATTTTTTTATTCCCATCAGCAGTGTATGAGAGTTTCAGCTTCTCCACATCCAAGCCAGTGCTTGGCTATTATCAGTCACGCTAATCTTAGCTATTTAAAAATAGATAGTGGCGTCTCGTTTTGGTTTTAATTTGCATTGCCCTAAGCATTAATTATGTTGAGCGTATGTGCTTATTTACCAAACAAATGTCTACTTTGAAATGTCTGTTCCAGTCTTTCACCCAAGTTTTAAATGGGGTTGTTTGTTTTTCATTATTAAATTTTGAGCTTTTAAAATATATTTTTGATGCAAGCCTTTTATCAGATATATGAATTGCAAATATTTTCTCCCAGCCTGCAGCTTGCCTTTTCAGTCTCTTAATAGATTCTTTTGAAGAGCAGATTCTTTTTTTTAAATTTGATGAGTTCTTCTTATCAATATATTATTTTATAAATCATGCTGTGGGGTCATATCAAAGAAAGCTTTGCCTTACTCAGAGTTCCAAATGTTTTCACATCTTCCCTCTCCTCTCCTTTGGGAACTGAGATTACACATAAATTCAGTTACTTGAAATTTACTGTCTACTATTGCTCTGTTCATGTTTTTAAAAATTTATTGTCTCTCTATATTTTATTTTGAGAGGTGTCTATCTTTTCTTCTTTAATGACTAATGTGCTATCAGCCTACCATGTAGCTGGGACTACAGCCGCATGCTACTATGCCCCGCTAATTTTTGTATTTTTAGTAGAGATGGGGTTTCACCATATTGGTCAGGCTGGTCTTGAACTCCTGACTTCGTGATCCACCTGCCTCGGCCTCGCAAAATGCTGAGATTACAGGCGTGAGCCACTGCGCCCAGCCTCCTTTAGTGTATCTTGCATGTCTGTATTTTAGAACATATAGAATACTGTTTCAATAAGCATTTTAATGTTCTTAACTGATAACTCTGGCATCTTGATTTACTCTGGATCGGTTCTGACTGAGTGATTTTTCTCCTTATTATGAGCCACGTTCTTCTGTCTTTTGTTGTTACTGTTGCGTCTCTGCTAAATTGTGTCTGGATGTCAGATATGGTGACTTTTATCTTATTGAGTGCTGGAAGTATATATAAATATTCTTGATCTTTGTGTTGGTATGTATTTAAGTTTAGTTGGAAAGAGTTTGACTCTTTTTGGTCTTGCTTTAAAAATTCATTAGGTGGGATCAGACCAGTTCTCATTTTAGAGCTAATCACTCCCAATTAGTGAGGCAAGATCCTTCTGGGTATCCCTGGGAATCTTGAGGTGTTTCTGGTTTGGCTGATAAAATAAGCACTATTACTGGACCTTGGTGAGCATGTGTACTGTTACTTTTCATCTTATCTGGGTGTTCTTTCCCCAACCATAGGTACTTTTCTCTATGCCTGTCCTAACAATTACTTAGCTATGTACTTTAGGGGGACCCTTTGCAGAGCTCTGGAGTTCTCTTTCTGTGCAGCTCCTTCTTCTCGGAAACCTTGTCCTGAGAGCTCATGTCAACATGGTTTCTGTGGACTCTCAGCTCTTTCCCCTCAGCTCAGGGAGAACAATGGGCTCCTCTTGGGCTCTTCTCCTGGAGTACTGGGCTGGAAAACTTTCTCCAGGCATAAATTAGGGCAGTTGATAGGCTCACCTTGTTTGAGACTGACTTTACAGCGTCTTGCAAACTTTTGTGGCATACATTTTGGCCATTTTTTTGGTTGTTTCAGGAGGGAGAGAAAGTCTAGTTCTTGTTACTCCATCATGGTCATTGCAGAAGTCAACCTAACTGATATTTATCAATACAGTCTGTTGCTACACATTGAACTTGCTTAAGATAATTTTCAGATGGCACAGAACTTTCTGTCCATTGAATGAGACTCTCTGCTTATTTTGCAAGTGCTCATTTGTATGGAGAAACTTCAGAAAGTTTGTGGAAAATGAAGTTAAAGGGTAAACATTGAAAATGTGATCTTCGGTTTTCATCTCTAAAGAACTGATGATCCTGGGAACTTAACAATGTCAATGCAGTCTCTTATACATTATTAACTTAAGAAAAATGGGTGCCCTTTCCACACTTGTTGAGATTGGGAAACAAAAAGAAGTCAGAAGGAGCCAAATCAGAGCTGTAAGGTGGATGCCTGACAATTTCCCATTGAGACTTTCACAAAATTGCCTTTGCTTGATGAGAGGAATGAGCAGAAACATTGTGGTGTTAGAGGACTCTCTGCTAAAGCTTTCCCAGGTATTTTGCACTAAAACTTTGGCTAACTTATTCAAAACACTCTCATGATATGCAGATATTATTGTTCTTTGACCTTCCACAAAGTCAACAAGCAAAATGCCTGGAATGTCCCCAAAAAACTGTTGCCATGACCTTTGCTCTTGAGTGATCCCCTTTTGCTTTGACTGGACCACTTCCACCTTTTGGTAGCCATTGCTTTGATTGTGTTTTGCCCTCAGGATCATACTGGGAAAGCCATGTTTTATCTTCTGTTACAATTCTTCAAAGAAATCCTTCAGGATCTTGACCCTAGTTCTTTAAAATTTCCATTGAGAGCTCTCCTCTTGTCTGCAGCTGATCTGGGCACAACACTTCTGGCACCCATGCAGTGGAAAGTTGGTTCAACTTTAATTTTTTAGTCAGAACTGTGTAAGCTGAACCAATTAAGATGTCTATGATGTTGGCTATTGTTTGTGCTGTTGATTATCAGTCCTCTTCAATTAGGGCACAAACAAGGTTAATTTTTTTCCTTGCAAATTGATATGGATGGTCTGTCCCTGTGGACGTCATCTTCCACATCATCTCGTTTCTTCTTTAAAAAAGCTGTCCACTTGTGAACTACTGATTTCTTTGGTGCATTGTCCCCCCAAACTTCTTGTAAAGCATCAGTGATTTCACCGTTCTTTCACCCAAGCTTCATCATAATCTAATGTTTGTTCTTGCTTCAATTTTAGCAGAATTTACATTGCTCTGCTAGGGGCTCTTTTCAAACTAATGTCTACTCCTTCTTACTGTCTCAAACTAGATCCTGTGCAGACGTGCTATAATAAATTAGTATAAATAATTTAGTATAAATAATAATTAGTATAAACAAATAATTTAGTATAATTAGTATAAATAAATAGTATATTTATTTATATAAATAATTAGTATAAATACATAATTTAGTATAAATAATAAAACTCATAAATTAGTATGACTTTATTTTGCTGCCAAAATTGAAACCTTTGCATAGTTTTTTTTCATAATATACATTTTCCATGAACTTTTTAAGGCCTCTCATGTATCCACAGGTAGAGTGCCTTACCTATTCTGACTTCAGTCAATTATTCAAGACCTTTCCTTGTCAGTGATACATTAGAAAGGTAGAGTATTGAAAAATAAGAGTAGCTTCTGCTGATTAAGTAATACTATATCTTTTTCTACTTCTTTCTTTCTTTCTTTCTTTCTTTTTTTTTTTTTTTTGAGACAGCGTCTTTCTCTGTCACCCAGGCTGGAGTGCAGTGGTGTGATCTCAGCTCACTGCAACCTCTGCCTCCCAAGGTCAAGTGATTCTCCTGCCTCAGCCTCCTGAGTAGCTGGGACTATAGGTGCCTGCCACCACACCCAGCTAATTTTTGTATTTTTAGTGGAGACAAGGTTTCACCATATTGGCCAGGCTGGTCTTGAACTCCTGACCTTGTGATCTGCCTGACTCGGCCTCCCAAAGCGCTGGGATTAAGGCATGAGCCACTATACCTAGCTTTCTACTTCTTTCTTATTATTTTCCTCCTCTCTCATTCCCATATTCTCTCCTTTCTCCTACTTTCCTCCCCACTCCCTGTTTCCTTCCTTTCATCTTTCCTATTTTCAAGACTTAATATTTCTTGAACCTCAGATGTTATCATAGTGTGTTATTTGTTTAATTTTCACATAACAATAATAGTTTAAATACAAATAATATTTATTTTCATCCCCATGTTATCAGTATAACAGTAAAGATGTGGAGAGGCCAGCTGGGTGCGGTGGCTCACGCCTGTAATCCCAGCACTTTGGGAGGCCGAGGTGGGTGGATCACGAGGTCAGGAGATCGAGACCATCCTGGCTAACACGGTGAAACCCCATCTCTACTAAAAAATGGAAAAAATTAGCTGGGCGTGGTGGTGCGTGCCTGTAGTCCCAGCTACTCGGGAGGCTGAGGCAGGAGAATAGTGTGAACCCGGGAGGCAGAGCTTGCAGTGAGCCAAGATCACGCCACTGCACTCCAGCCTGGGTGACAGAGCGAGACTCCGTCTCAAAAAAAAAAAAATAAAAATAAAATAAAATTAAAAAAAATGATGTGGAGAGGCCAAACCAATGGCTCTTATATACACGTTCTTTCTTCTAAATGATTTCACCTTAGTTTTGGTCTGCATCTCCAACCATAGCTAGTTGCAGTAGGACCCTCTGTCTGGCCTTGCTGCTCTCATTTTTGGACCTCCTCACTGAAATCAAATTGATCTTTCTAAAATGCAAACCTGGTCTTAGTATTTTATTACTTAAAACCCATTGGTGGCTTTCCATGATTTATGGAATAAAGTCAAAATTCCTGTTTTTGCCCATGTTTCTGTGTGCCTCTCATCCCTACATTTACTGATTCCTGTGTGCCATAAATTGCCAGTAGTCCAGAGTTCATTCTCTTTTTGTACTTGGGAAGACTTCTGCATCCTGCCACTTTTCCCCTGAAACATGCTTGGAAAATACCTACTCATTTTTTTCAGATTCAGGTTAGTTTTTTACTTCACTTTCTTTTCCTGAAGCTTATACTCACTGCTCCATATGCCTTTGGGGATTAGCTGCTCATTCCTTTGTGCCCTTTGTAGATATACATTTATCATGCAGTCTTTTTTTTTTTTTTTTTTTGAGACAGAGTCTCACTCTGTCACCAGGCTGGAGTGCAGTGGTGCGATCTCAGCTCACTGCAACCTTCACCTCCCAGGTTCAACTGATTCTCTTGCCTCAGCCTCCCAAGTAACTACAGGCGTGCACCATCGTGCCCAGCTAATTTTTGTATTTTTAGTAGAGACGGATTTCGCTATGTTGGCCAGGATGGTCTCGATCTCTTGACCTTGTGATCTGCCCACGTTGGCCTCCCAAAGTGCTGGGATTACAGGCATGAGCCACCGCTCCCAATCAATCATGCGGTCTTTATACTTACTTGTTTACTTGCCTGTGAGATCACTGAATGCAGGGACTATTTCCTTGTTGCTCTAGCACCTACACCAGTACCTGGTATCCAGAAGCTGCATGCTAAATGTTTGTTGAGTGGCTGTTTGACTGAATGATTGTACTCCTAATTAGTAGATAGAAAGCCATGAACTTCCCAGTTCATCATTCTTTGTGCTCAATTCTGGTTTCTTTATTGTGTTCAAAAGAGTTCCTTAGTGACATGAAACTATGGAGCTAGTATGTCGGCTCATTTAAGCAATGATTGGTTTATGTATATAAGAGGCTTCAATAATTATATATTTTTATTTCAGTTTCAATAAATGATCAATTTATTAATTTTCTCTGTTTTGGCTTATTGTTCACATTTAGTATCTAATAAAAGTGTTTTACTTAAAGTTATTCACGCCAATTATGACAGGTGAATATTACTTTGATTTACATTCCAGTAGTAGTTTTGGTGGAACCCTGAATATGCTAAGACGTCACTTTTCTTTTTTCTTATGAACAGGCTACTCTGTTTACATATATTATTAAAATCTTCTTTGAAAATACGAAGAGTGTTATATCTCTTATATTTAGTTCTCTGTGCTTCAGAATTCCTGTGATACTTGCACTTAAGTCCTTCTGAGCAGTTGATGTTAATATTTATGTGGTTAATTTCATGAAACATGGTGGTTTTCATTTCTATCATTAATTTATACAGGAGATAGACTGTTTTCCAGGTGTAAGCTCAGTCATATAATTAGAAAATTTATAAGCAGAAAGGAGTTATTTGGTCTAACCCATTTATTCTACAGGTAGAGAAATTAGAGTCCAGAAACTCTGTCTTCTTTAAAGTCTTACAGGTATTTAAGAAAAAAGAATAGACTTGAGATTTCCGTGTTCTGAACACAGTGATCTTGACACTGTAATGATCTTCATCCATATTATTCACAGAAGTAAATATAATCACATATTAAATAAGAAACAAAAATACTAAGGAGATATTATACTGAAAAATGAAATCATATTATCTTAATTATTTTGATCAGATTCATTATATAGCAGCTTGAAGGCTAATAATTCCAATGATTCTCTGAATAAACCATTTTTCTAATAAGATTACAAGTTTTAGTAATCTAATTATTTTGACTGATGCAAATGTTACCCCGCCAGTCTGAAAAATGTGTTTATTTATATGTCATAAAGAATAATTTATTCCAAAAAGGCTAATTTTCAAAATATATGTATCTTCTGAAACTGTATCTATTTTTTTCCCACGTTTTCTAAATATATTTTAGAGGGCATTTGTAGATTTTCATGGTGCTGAAAAATTAAGGTATAATGGTCTCATGAAGGAGAATAATGTCATTTAGACATTGTAATTTTGGAGGATCACAATACTTTCTGGAATGTGGTTGTTGCAGCACTGGTCACTTATACTAATTATATAAAAACATACTATACTAATGCAATAATATACCATATTAAATTATTAAATGGTAAATTTGTCTTAAATCCTCTAGAATACTGCAAAGAAATAGTTTATATAAGAAAGAGTACCATAGCATATGTGAACACAATATTTCCTATTTTTTTCTTCTTTTTTATTTTTTTGAAGACAAGTTCTCACTCTGTTGCCCAGACTGGAGTTCAGCGCCATGTTCATAGTTCACTGCAACCTCAAACTCCCAAGCTCAAGTGATGCTCTTGATTCAGCCTCCCAAGTAGCTGCGCCTATAGGCGTGCACCACCACACCGGCTAATTTTTAAATTTTTTTATACATATGTTGCCCAAGCTGGTCTCAAATTCTTGAGCTCAAGAGATCTTCTCACCTTGGCCTCCCAGAGTGTTGGGATTACAGGCATGAGCCACCATACTCAGCCAATATTTCTTTTCTAAAAGACATTTTCTAACATACTTCTCATTTTAACTAACATAATATTGAAAGTGTAGATCTGAGAAAGAGATAGTGCCTGCAGATCTGGGATCCTACATGCTAATATTATGGGATGCATTCAGATTTGATCAGCAGATATTCCATTTATTCTAGAACACCACCAGCAGAAGAATGTAATTACATCTATCACTAAAACTTTGTGTCAATACAGACTACTGTATTTGTTATCATAGATGGTCCTTGGATGGCAGCCTTAAACAATTTTAAACCTAGACAGTTGATGTACTTTTTCTTCTTGGATAATTTTCATTGTTTTATCTAATTTGGTTGTAACTAATGTGTTTAATATGGCTTGCTTTATTTTTTAAAAAGTTGTTCAGTATCCTTAGAACTCAGTGCTGATTTCTTTTTCTAGCAGGCCTTTTATATAGGACATCTCACTTTCTCCTGGCTCTCTACTACTAGCATGAGGTCTCTGAAAAATCAAGACAGCAAAATAATTTGTTATAGAATAGCCTATGTAGAGGGACAGGGGAGGAGTCATATTCCAAGAGGGAAAGACCTTTGAGCCAGGCTCAACTTGTAGAGGCTGTTGAATGAAAATGAGAGAGAGAGAATGCACACTTTATTGCACTATTAAAGCAAAATTCTGACAATAACTTCTAAAAATGATTCATACACTGAGCATATTACAGACCTTCCAAAAGTATAATTTCTTACATGAACGTCCAGGTATATAAAGAAAAATAACTATTTCATACCAATATCTTCAGCCGCCTTTATTGTTGGTTCACCACATAGGTTTTTATCAGAATCGCAGAACATTGATTTTTTAAATTAGCTACCATTACAACTAGCTTGAGAAGAACTTTCTTTTTAATAATTCGACCCAGATGCGTTCTAGATACTCCAGTGTTAACGAATCGATGGCTTCATGAGGAGCAGCTGTTGACTCATGCTATCTCTGGACACACTGACAGGAAATGTTTTCTTACACCTGTTTTCCTCCTGCTTTTCCTTGGTAGGACTTAGTTCCTTGGCATAGTTCAGTATCAATGGCAGTCATAGAGAAGTGTTACAAAAACCCAGCTTATTCCAACTTGTGAATTATTTGGCACCCAGGAAACAGGTCTTACAATCTTCAACCCACTTTCTCCTAACATGGCCCCTTTTCTGAAATGTTTATTTATATATGATGTAGGCCTGAGGAAAGGACATGGACTTTCAAATAAAATATTCTCCAGTAGATCTCTCAACTCCAGAGAACCTTCTGACTAAATCTGAAAGAATTCCACTGTGCTCTGATAACATCTTTTAATAATGAAGGAAAAGATATTTTTCCCCCAGGAGGATTTTGTAGTGAAAGAGATGGCATAATTTTTTTAAAAAATGTTGTTTATAATCTAATTTGTTTTTTCATTTGTGGGGTGTGTCTTAAATCCTAAATGGTACATCATTTTTTTAATACTTCTAGTAATAAAATGTTTCTGAAGTTATGTTGTAAATATCGTAGGACTATGTTTAATAATGTTAAGTTGATCCCACTTCCCCTGAAATTATATACATAAATGCTGAAAGTATAAATTACATATACAACTTCATGGAACATTTTTCTTCCAAGTGTGCATTTGCTAGAATTTGCATTGAAAGGTTTTGGAAGGAGCCTGTTGGTATGAATCCTGTGTGAGCAACACTCAGATTTGTTGCATACTGAACAGCATGCTAAATCTCACTTCACAATCTTAGATTTCTCATCTACCATCTTGAGCTGAATTTAAAATGTAACGGCAGTTTATTATGTCACCTGTTCGTCAAACACTGATGCAAAGCTTAGTTTTCAGTGTGAAGAACCCATGACTAGAGAAGGGAAGAAGAAAGGGTCAAGCAGACCTCATTAAAGAGTGTATGGGCAAGAAAACACATCAGATGTCTTGATAGGTTTATTAAAGTCCTGTTAGACTTGTCATGATTTCCAAAACACTAAATGCCATCTAGTATTTTGGACCCTCCAAAATTACAGTAGAATATTATTATGGGTCATCTTAATTGGAAATATACAGGAAAATCCTGATGATTAATGTGGACTAGTGATAGCTCTCACACATTTATATAACCTACGTTGAAAAGAAAGAAGAAAGGCAGGAAGGAAAGAAGGAAAAAGAGCGGAGAGAGAGGAACAAGAAAACACGTGGATTTGTGGAAATGAAATTTTTTAAATTACTAATTTGCAAGAATGGGTAAGAAAAATACCGAGTGTGAACATAAATGCTTTCAATTCAGTTTGTCTCTGAATCCTTCTCAGTCCGTGGCCAGTTTTGAAACTTGGTGTAACTTCCTTCCTTTATTCCTCCCTCCCTTGCTCCCTCCATCCCTTCTTGCCAGCCTCCTTCCCTTCCTCTCTCCTTGAGTTTCCTTCTTGTTCCCTCCCTCCCTCTCTCTTTTCTTCCCTTAGTTCCCCTGGAAGCACATATACCAGCCATTTGAATGCTTTCTGCTCATAGATACTGCCAAGCCCCCTCACCCAGACTGTTGACTAGATTTGGTAGAATTGAATGAGAAACATAGACTTTGTGTCTGGGGCGGCCACCTCTGATGTTGCAGATTTTTGCCGTGATTATGCTCTCCAGCCGAGGGACGCTAGAGAGGTTGAAATTTCAACTGTGGGATTTGCCATTTTGGAATTTGCAGAAATGTACTGGATATGCTAACAGCAGCCTGGCTAGCCTCCACTTCACAAGGAAGTATTTAAATATACACGTGTAATACGAAGAAAATTGCATTAGATCATAAGGGATGAATTATTTTGTAAATAACTATACCATCAAATACCATACCTGATATCAATCATCTTCATCAGACAGTATCTGTGTATGTAAGTAGATAAACAAAAAAGCAGGAGTTTATTTCTCTCTAATGTGTCCTTGACTCTCTAGCAGTGACCTCTGAAATGTCTCTTCTGATCCAGACTTGTTTGAATCATGTGCAACATTTTAGATTTGTCTTTTCTCTGCAAGTTTTTTTTTGTTAAGTACCATAACATATTGAACCAAATAGTTTTGCTTGCTTTATATTGATGACACATGATTTTGGCTTTTATCTTCAGTGGAAAATCAATGTGTCACATGGCGTTCACTAAGAAAAAGGTGTGGGGCCTCTTTGTAATTCTTTGTCAGATGATTGCTGTATCTTGATTTATGCCTTCAAACTTTTTCCCATTCAGCAGAAAATATTGTGTCGCTATCTGTGAGAGCAAAGCGATCTATACCTATTTATGCTCTAAGTGTAGCCTCCTTCCAGAACTGCTTATGGAACATATCAACTCACTATAGATTAGGGACATAATGGATTCTTCTTTCTTAAAAGTGGCATATTGACAATTTTAGTTCATATACAAGCTTTTATATTAACATTAAAACGATATTTCTATGTAAAATAAAATATTGTAGTTGATTATTATTCGAGGGCCTCCCAGAATTTCAAGGTCTGAAAAGAAATTCAATGTTCCTGGTGGTAACAAAATTGCCCCTACTTCCTTGTATCAGGACTGCCATTTGGAACTGCTGGGGAAGCTCTTTTCAGAAATTATTTTCAAAACAGCATTGTTGCCTTTTTCCAAACTGAAATCTGATTGTAAACTTTTGAAAACTAGTTCCTTGGAATGGAATTCAAGGAGTCTTCTAAGCAATTTTTTTTTTTAACTCAAACATACATTCTATCTTGCTTTATTATGTCACTATTTGTGTAGGAAACATATTTCTATTTTTACCATTTTCAATTTATTTACATTTACATTTACATTTGTGTGTATATATATACGCACATACATACACTTTAAGTTCTGGGATACATATGCAGAACTTGCAGTTTTGTGAAATAGGTATACATGTGCTGTCGTGGTTTGCTGCACCCATCAACCCGTCATCCACATTAAGTATTTCTCCTAATGCTATCCCTCCTCTTTCCTTCCTACCCACTGACAGGCCCCAGTGTGTGATGTTCCCCTCCCTGTGTCTATGTGTTCTCATTGTTCAACTCCCACTTATGAGTGAGAACATGTGGTGTTTGGTTTTCTGTTCTTGTGTTAGTTTGCTGAGAATGATGGTTTCCAGCTTCATCCATGTCTCTGCAAAGGACATGAATCCATCCTTTTTTATAGCTGCATAGTATTCCACGGTGTATATGTGCCACATATTCTTTATCCAGTCTATCATTGATGGGCATTTGGGTTGGTTCCTAGTCTTTTCTATTGTGAATAGTGCTGCAGTAAACATATGTGTGAATGTGTCTTTATAGTAGAATGATTTATAATCCTTTGGATGTGTACCTAGTAATGAGATTGTTAGGTCAAATGGTATTTCTAGTTCTGGATCCTTGAGGAATTGCTACACTGTCTTCCACAATGGTTGAACTATTTACACTCCCACCAACAGTGTAAAAGCATTCCTATTTCTCCACATCCTCTCTAGCACCTGTTGTTTCCTGACTTTTTAATGATTGCCATTCTAACTGGCGCGAGATGGTATCTCATTGGACCAGGGATGATGAGCTTTTTTTTTTTTTTTTTTCTTCGAGACAGCCTCACTCTGTCACCCAGGGTGGAGTGCAGTGGCACAATTTCGGCTCACTGCAACCTCCACCTAATGGGTTCAAGCAATTCTCCTGCCTTAGCCTCTTGAGTAGCTGGGATTACAGGTATATGCCACCACGCCTGGCTAAAGTTTTTTTGTGTGTTTTTGGTAGAGACAGAGTTTCACCATATTGGCCAGGCAAGTCTCAAACTCCTGACCTTGTGATCCACTCGCCTTGGCCTCCCAAAGTGATGGGATTACAGGCGTGAGCCACCACGCCCAGCCTATGATGAGCTTTTTTTCATATGTTTATTGGCCGCATAAATGTCTTCTTTTGAGAAGTGTCTGTTCATATCCTTTTCCCACTTTTTGATGGGGTTGTTTTTTTCTTGTAAATTTGTTTAAGTTCCTTGTAGATTCTGGATATTAGCCCTTTGTTAGATGGATAGATTGCAAAAATTTTCTCCCACTCTGTAGGTTGTGTGTTCACTCCGATGATAGTGTCTTTTGCTGTGCAGAAGCTATCTTTAGTTTAATTAGATCCCATTTCTCAATTTTGGCTTTTGTTGCCACTGCTTTTGGTGTTTTAGTCATGAAGTCTTTGCCTTTGCCTATGTTCTGAATGGTATTGGCTAGGTTTTCTTCTAGAGTTTTTATGGTTTTAGATCTTATGTTTAAGTCTTTAATCCATCTTGAGTTAATTATTTTATAAGGTGTAAGGAAGGGGTCCAGTTTCAGCTTTCTTCATATGGCTAGCCAGTTTTCCCATCACCATTTATTAAATAGTAAATCTTTCCCCATTGTTTGTTTTCATCAGGTGTGTCAGAGATATGTTGTATATTTTATGGTACAATGCCTTCTGTCAATGGGGAAAAACAACAAGCGTATATGGGATGAATGAAGTCTGCTATGGTTAAGGTTGAGAATATTTACTGATCCTTGAGTTCAGTCTCCAGGAATGTTGGAAATAGAGAATGGAGATAATGGAGATAAAGAAAAGTTCTGAAAATGACACTTCCCATAGTGTCAGAATTGTGGTCTATTGGAGAATTCTGTGATACATCAAAACCTCTGTTTATACTGATGTTTGTTATTGTGTATGAGCATATCTTTATCAGGTGTAGGCTATTTCTATACTTTCATGTCTTTAAATCAACGTTTCTATTCACATATGTATATGTGCAAATAGAAACATGTTAATGTTATATATATATTTTTTCTGTCATTACCAATATTGCTATGATTATCATTAGCATGTATTATTAGTGTGACCGAAGTATCATCAGTATCATTTTCTTTCTAACTGCAGTGCTCCTGTAATGCTTCATTTCTACAGAGCCAACCTACACCCACCGTTTCCCTGACTATAACTTCACCTAAAGTATAAGCCCTTCTAAAGCCATGAAAGCCTACCAAGAATTGTCAAAGAAGCTAGGCAGCAGCCAGGCTCTGCCTTAGGAAAAGACTTTACTTTTTATTATCATGTGCAGTACTTAACTACTTGTTTTGACCTCTAAGATTTTGCTCTCCTATATTTCTATCCTCTGGCTTTCTGATATTTCATGTGATTATATTTGAAAATTTAACCTTGCTTTTCTTTTTGGAATCTCTGATATCTCTGCTGCCACAGGTAATGACAGCTTCCTCTGTAACCGTTGGTGTTATCCCTGGTCAGATTATTACTGATGACAGAAGTAGATGTTTTACGTGGATTCTCTCAATATCAGAAACAAATACAGATATCACAACTCAAAAATGACAGACTGATAACCATTATGAACTTAGATGCAACATTCTTAATACAATATTAGCAAATTGAGTCTAGGAATATTTAAAAATGATAATGTGTTTTAACCAAGTGGGATTTATCTCAAGTTGGTTTCAACAACTGACAATCTACCATGCTGACAGAAAAAAGAAAAATCACGTGACACTCTCGATAGATGCAAAAAAGGAATTTACAAAATGTAGCAAATTTTTTAAATTAAAAACTCCCAGCAAACTGAGGATAGAAAAGTACATTTTCAAACTGATTATGTGTTTACAAAAAATCTATAGCAAACATCTTACTTAAAATGGTGAAAGCCTTAATACTTTCTACATAAGATTATGAAAAATGCAATGATGTCCTCTCTCCCTAGTTCTTTAAAGTATTGCATTCAATATTAAATAAGTGGAAATATATACCAAGTTCATTGATAAGTGTTTAATACTTATGAGATGATAATTCTCCTGATATTGATCTCTAGATTCAGTGGAATTCCCATGAAACCTTATAGGTCCTTTTGGATAAATTACAAAACTGATTCTAAAACAGGGAGAAAGAAAGAAGGGAGGGAAGGAGGAATGGACAGAAAGAAGAAAGAAATAAAGAGAAAAGAAAAGAAAATAAGAAATAAGTGACACCCAAGTTGGGAAGAAAGAAAAATAATATTCTCATGTGATGTAAACATATACATAGAAAATCCTTAGGCATCTGCAGAAGTGTGCTAGAGGTATGAAGTGAATTTAACAAAGTTGTAGGATGAAAGATCAATAAATAAAATCAATTGTGTTTCTATACACAATCAACACCAATTAGAAAATAAAATTATGTAAGCAATTTAACTTATAATAGCCTCAAAAATAATAAAATAATTCAGAATAAATTTAATAAAAGGTATGCCAATCCAAAATTTCTAAATCACTAATACGAGAAATTGAATAGGTAGAAATATGTATGAAGTTCATTGGTAAATATATATGTAATACTTATTAGATGATAATTCCCCTGAAACTGATCTCCAGATTTGGCACAATCCCAATCAAACCTATAGGCCTTTTTGGAGAAATTACAAAGCTGATTCTAATTTTTTTTTTTAATGCGGAAGTCCAAGAATAGCCAGAGCATGTTTTAGAAAGAATAAAGTTGGAAAACTTTCCAAATTTCAAGACATATTGTAAAGCTACACTAACCAGTACAGTGAACTTACTGGCATGAAGAAGACATATATATCAGTGAAACAGAGTAAATAATTTAGAAATATATCCAGCCTTACATGGCCAAAGTTGCCGAAATAATTCAATAAGGAAATCAATGTCTTTATAAAGATGGTACTATTAAAATTGGATATTAAATGGAGAATATGAACTTCAGAATTACCTCACACCATATCCTCAAATTAACTCAACATGTATTTTATAGATAATGTAAATATAAAAAGTATAAAGCTTACTGAATAGGAAAAATTTTTAATAATCTTACTATAGCTAAAAATTTTTTAGATAAGAAAAGGATGGATGAAAATGGAAAAAATAGTAAATTGGACTTCATGAAATTAAAACGTTTGCAATTTAAAACACAGAATCAAAAAATGAAAAGGCAAACCACAGATTGGGACAGAATAATTTTAAATATGTCTGATAAAGAACTTTCATCTAGAATGTACACATAACTAAAAAACTAAATAACAAAACACAGATAACTCATTTAATATAACATTTTGACCTAAATGGGCCAAATATTTGTACAGATGTTTTAATTTAAAAAGAGATGATATCTAATACACAAATGAAAAGATACTTGACATTACATGTCATCAGGGAAATGCAAGTTAAAACCACATTGAGATACCACTGTACACCCACTGGAGTGGCTGACACGGGCAGAACTGACCATACCACATGATGTGAAGAATTGCTATTCACACCTGGCTAGTGGGACTTCAAAATGGTACAGACATTTTGGAAAGCAGTTTGGAAGTTTCTTTTAATGTTAAACTTAGTACTGATCATATAGCCAAGTAATTCCACTGCGACTCAGAATAATTAAAAACATATCCGTACCAAGCCTCATCCTTGAAGTTCATAGCAGATGTGTCCATCAACTTGTAAATGGATAAACCAGTTGTATATGGAGTACCACTCAACAATAAAAAGGAGCAAACTGATACAACAGCAATATAAGTGAATATCAAAAGCATTATGCTCAGTGAAAGAAGCTAGACATGAAAGACACCAATGTATCATTCCACTAATAGGATACTCTAGAAAATGCAAACTGTAGAAACAGAAGCAGATTAGTGGTTGCCTGTGTTCAGGAATGGAGAAAAGATCAAATGCAAAACAGCAAAAGAAAACATTTTGTGATGATGCAGATTTTCTGTATCTTGATCATGATTGTGGTCAAATGATGATATTCATCTGCCATAACCCATTAAATTGCACATTTAAAAGGGTGAATTTTACTGTGTGTACATTATACTTAAATGGAGCTGTAAATATGTTTGGAGCTTATCTGTGAACATTAGTTGCAGAGCAGGAGTTATTTTTATAGAGTGGAAATCTGCTGAGTGCCAACTTGAGAAGGGTTGAAAAAAATTAGAACCTTCTTCCAACACATTTCAATTAGAACACTCTTAGGATGTCGTTACAGCTATGCTCTATATTGGAGTCTCTGATGAAATCACATGTCTAAAAATCTCAGCATGCTTTTAATCAACAGAATATACACGTGTTTTCTTTTTTTACTATAAAGGATATACCAAACAACTTTTTGAAGACTTTACTTCAAAAAGGCACGTAGTTTTGCAACATTTTTGGTAAGTCTTTAATTATTTCAAAATGAAAAATTGAAAATAAAATGCAATTATTTACTCAGCCCCCCCAAAAAAAGGCCTGTATGGGGAATGCATGTGGTGTGTGTGTGTGTGTGTGTGTAAGTGTGTGATTTGAAGAATTGAAAAAATTTTATTGGGGTTTTGTAGCATCACTTTGATAGCATCCTGTAATTTTGTATTGTGTTTGAAATAAAAATAAAGTGAACACACTGATAAAAGAATTTGAAAAGAATTTGCATTATTGCCTAAATTATGTGTGGTTTCCACAGTGGCATGAATCGAGCATCTTTAACCTACGTAACAATATATCAGAATGTATTAGGTAAAAAATAAGTAAACTAGTATAACGAAGTTAAATATTTCTAGAGGAAAATTATAGCTTTATTTTTTTTTCCTGAAATGTTTTGAGGAGATATTTACACCAAAAGAAATTATCACTGATCAATGAAACTTTTTCAGAATTTGCTTGTGTCCCACCAATATTTGATTACGTAGGCTTCTGTGAGTTCCATTTCGTTAATTTAGCATTGACAGGAGAGAAGGCAATGGCTCTGCAGCCTCTCTGGGTGTGGCATGCTCCTGGTTCCGCTGGCTGATCTCTATTAGAACCATGGCCTTAATCATGCCTTTCATGCTTCTAACTTGATTTGCATTTGTTGTGTAATCCAAATTTATTCTCTCGTTTAGTCGCTTCCACCCATAGAAAAGCAGGTCTTTTTCATTTCCCCTTCACCATTGCCCCCATTTTTTCTTTTTGTCCTCCCATGATGAAAAACAAGACAGAAAACAAACTATAACAACAACAGGCACCTTTTGTCTGTGGTCACCAATGCATTGTAGCACTAAACTTTGTTCAAAATCTCTAGATGTAACCTCTATATCTGCTGTTCCCAGAGTTTTTTGATGTATTCTCTAGACTGCTGTGACCCACTGACAGAAAGCCTAGCTATATTTAATTGAAAGTTATTACTGTCTGATATGGCTTGGCTGTGTCCCCACCCAAATCTCATCTTGCACTATAGCTCCCATAATTCACATGTTGTGGGAGGGACCTCGTGAGAGGTAAGTGGATCATGGGGGCAGTTTTCCCCATACTGTTCTAGTGGTAGTGAATAAGTCTCATGAGATCTGATGGTTTTATAAGGCGAAACCCCTTTCGCCTTTCACTTGGTTCTCATTTGCTGTTTGCCTGCTGCCATGTAAGACGTGCCTTTCGCCTTCTGCTATAATTGTGAGGCCTCCTCAGCCATGTGGAACTGTGAATTCATTAAACCTCTTTTTCTTTATAAATTACCCAGTCTTGGGTATGTCTTCATCAGCAGCATGAAAATCAACTAATACACTGTCCATGAATGATACTCTGTTAGCCCATTTGCATTGTTATAAAGAAATACCTGAGGCTGGGTAATTTATAAAGAAATGAGGTTTATTTGGCTCCTTGTTCTGCAGGCTGTACATGAAGCATAGTACTGGCACCTGCTTCCAGGGGGGGCCTCAGGAAGCTTCCAATCATGGTGGAAGGTGAAGGGAAACCAGCATATCACATGGTGAGAGAGGAAGCAAGAGAGACAGGGAGGAGGTGTCAGTCTCTTTTAAACAACCAGATATCACATGAACTCACAGGGTAAGAACTCATTCATTACCAAGAGGACAGCACCAAGCCATTCAGGAGGCATCTGTCTCCAACATTGGGGATCACATTTTAACATGAGATTTGAAGGGGACAAACATCCAAACTATATCAGATACCAAAGCTGACAATGCTTAGGATCTTTAGCTGTTCCAGGTTCTGGGAAAAGGGAGAGAGTTAGCTTCCCTCCTCTATGCTGTGCTACTCCATATTATATTAGTAATTATCGTTCTCTAAAGGTTCTTAAAAGCAAATAAACAAATGCAAGGCAAAACACATGAAATGCAAGGCAAATGCATTAAAAACTTTTGAGTGTTAATATATAGATTTTATTTTATCTTTTTAATTTCTTTTGCTTAACCAAATAGATTATGTAGTTTTGATTAACTGGCCATGAAATAGCTCTGCCTACATAGAATTTCCCATGAATAATTGGTTGTGGAGACTTTTATGTGTGACCCAAATCCTCCCTCAAAACTGAAGTTTGCCTAGCTATTGGGAGTGTTGGCAAATCATGCCTCTCAGCTGATTCTCTCTAGAATTTATTCTCAGGAGATCTAATTAATAACTTGTCAAGCTGATGTCCATCCTTGGGGACAACTCGTATCTGAAGAATGGCCAGTGAAAGGTATTAAAACTCCATACTCCTGCCTCAATTTAGGCCAACTCTGAAGGGTCACCCCAGCTTCTCAGCTCCCCCTTGAGATTAGCTGAGGTATTTGTTGTGACTGCCTCACATCTCAACTCCCTTTATCCAATTCAGCTTTTTCCCCACAGTTGTTGGTTCCTAGGATTTTACCCAGTTAAATGTTCTCTACACAAATCTCTATCTCAAATCTGCTTTACAGGGAATCTGGCCTCAGACAGGTTTTCATTAGGTTCTGGACATAACCCTCATTAGCCATTGATGTGATTCGGCTGTGTCTCTGCCTGAATCTCACCTTGATTGTAATTATCCCCACATGTCAAGGACGGAGTCAGGTGGAGATAATTGAATCATAGGGGCGGTTTCCCCCTGCTGTTCTCGTGGTAGTGAATAAGTCTCATGAGATCTGATGGTTTTAAAATGGGAGTTTCCCTACACAAGCTTTCTTCTCTGCTACCATTTAAGATGTGCCTTTGCTTCTTTTTTGCCTTCTGCCGTGACTGTGAGGCCTCCCCAGCCATGTGGAACTGTGAGTTCATTAAACCTCTTTCCTTTATAAATTACCCAGTCTTGGGTATGACTTTATTAGCAGCATGAGAACAAACTAGTACAGTCTGTTCTGTAAGCCCAAGTCGGATCACCGAGTCCCGCTTTCTGTTTTTGTTTTTTTTCTAGCCTATATTTCTACTAAAACTTGACTCATATAGACTTAAAACAAAATAATTAAGCATGGCTAATATTTATTTAATATTTTATACATGTCAGGTACTGTATTTTGTAACTTATCTTTTAATAATCTTTCCAAATCTCTAAAAGGAGAATTCTGCTCTTTTATAGAGAAAATAAGGATGGCTCTGAAAACGTTAGTATTAGGGGAAGTAGGGTGAGGGACATAGGGGGCACTTTGTGTTATTTGTGCATTTTACTATCAGTCTAAAATCAGGTCAAAATAAAAATTAAAAAAAATGAGTAGTAGAAGCAGGTTGTTAAGATTTTCAGTGTGACTCTAGAATTTTTTTGTTTGTTGTTTGTTTTGGAGTGTAGTGGTAAGATCTCTGCTCACTGCAACCTCCACTTCCCAGGCTCAAGCAATTCTCCTGCCTCAGTCTCCCAAGTAGCTGGGATTATAGGTGCCCGCCACGACACCCAGCTAATTTTTGTATTTTTTTTTTTTTTTTAGTAGAGATGGGGTTTCAGCATGTGGGCAAGGCCAGTCTCCAATTCCTGACTTCAAGTCATCCGCCCGCCTCAGCCTCCCGAAGTGCTGGGATTATAGGCATGAGCCACCACTCCTGGCCCAAAGTTCATATTTTAACTACTAACCTAAATTATTTTAAAAGCAAAAGTCTCCTTGGACTCAAACCAGGTCAGAGTGACATGATCATGTGCCTGTTTTGTGCAGGGTGAAGTGAGATTGTTATCTAGGAAATAGCTGAAATGTCTTGTTGTGGGCATAAATATTTCATATAAATTCTAAGATTCATATTAGCACTTAGATTATAATTACCTAAAGAATAGAGAACAATTTCATATAATTTTCAGTGTATCAGGCAAATCAAAAGTATACATACAAGCATGCAGATGAATTTCGGTGAATACAGTGGTGACAATGCTCAACAGAATATGTGTCCCCCACCCCAACCCTGCTTCTTGCTCTTTCACTGTCCTAAAAGATAGAACAAAATGGTTCAGGCATCCAGCTTGTCCCCTCCACACTTCACACTTTTACTTAATAGCAGCTTATCTTTAACACTTTGTCATCTTTAAGATGTTTCTAATTCTTTCTGCTAGATCCCAGGACTGAGGATGAGGAAGAATGATTTTATTTAAATAAGGTTGCTTAATTAAAAAACAATTTTTTTTAGTTTTAAAATATTTTCATTATTTTATAAAATTTTTGTGGGTACATAGGAGGTGTATATATTTGTGGGGTACATGAGATGTTTTGTTACAGGCGTGCAGTGTGAAATAATCACGTCATGAGGAATGGGCTTTCCATCCCCTCAAGCATTTATCCTCTGAGTTAAAAACTATTCAATTGGCTGGGCGCGGTGGCTCACGCCTGTAGTCCCAGCTCTTTGGGAGGCCGAGGTGGGCGGATCGCCTGAGGTCAGGAGTTTGAGAACAGCCTGGCCAACATGATGAAACCCCATCTCTACTAAAAATACAAAAATTAGCCAGGTGTGGTGGCGAGTGCCTGTCATCCCAGCTACTCGGGAGGCTGAGACAGGAGAATCATTTGAACCTGGGAGGTGGGGGTTACAGTGAGCCGAGATCATGCCATTGTACTCCAGCCTGAGTGACAAGAGTGAAACTCCATGTCAAAAACAAACAAACAAAAATCAATTACATTCTTTAAGTTACTAAAATTAAACATTGTAAATGATTTTTTTTCCCAAAGCTTTTTCAAAGAAAAAAAAAAGTAGAAACAAAGACACTTTCTACTGATTTCCAACATGGTGACTCTGTATTTCTAGCATGTGTTAAGGTGAAAAATTGATTTTATGTTTAATACAAAGCATAGCATAATGTAATGAAAAGCAAGATTGTAATGATAAAGGAAAATAACATTAGTGCTAATTTGTTTCAATTTGAAGCACTGGATTAAAATGAATTAGGTTATATTCCAACATGTTTATATTGAATTTCTTTTTTCTCCAATTGGTTTCTTTTTTTTTAATGGGGGAGTGTTGCATTTGTATAAGGTTTCCCTATTATATTCAATTGTTTTGAGATGCTTTTAATATGAAGTTTTTATGTTTTGTTTTTGATATATACATGTTATGCTTTTATGCTGAATTTGATAATTGGTGCTGTATATGAAAAGCAAATGTAATTTCCCAGCTTTTATTTTTTAAAGCCCTGGGAAGCAACATAATAAAATAGAAATAGTATCAAGACAGGAGTTAGAATACCTGGATTCTAAAATTTAAATTAAATTAGGATCTAGTGACATTATAGGTGTTCCTTGATCTTCTGATGACCTGATTCCTCAAAAGAAAAATAAAATAATCTATAAATTGTTTCTAATTCTAAAACTCTATAAATCCTATTTTAAAAATTATAATTAGTTGAACTCTATAAGGTCACAAAAATCCCTATTAAGAAACTAAAATAAAATTTTATCATATCTTAAAAATACTCTCATCTTTTTTTATATGCTGACATGAATTCTAATTATTTTTGAGCCCCTAAAAAACATTTAAGATCACAGTTTATGTTTTATTATTGACTTTCAGATAATTAACATTTTCCTGATAGATATGAACAAATCTACTCTAATAGAGATAGTCATTAGTTTATTTCTCTCTTTTCAGTATCAATAAAAAGTATCGATTTACCAATAACAATGAATTAATTGCCTGAAATAAATGAAACTTAAGCAGCAAAAGTGAACTTTTTAGTATAACTCTTCTTGTAAACATTGACTTAGTTCAAAGGGAGCTTATCTTTAAAAAAAAAGCGCTAATTCATGTCTATTGGTATAGATATAATCTTTTGTTCCTTGAAAATAGATCCTACTATACTCCAGACACTATGCCACTTGGTGGAGATATTAACACAAATAGCAGGTGATCATTGTCCTCATGGAGTTTATTTTAAAGAGAACAAAGTGAGACAAAGGCACACAAGCAAAGAACTACAATACAAAGGGGATGGCATCTGACTCAGCATGGAGGTGTCACGGAAGGTGTTGTTTTGCTTAGGTTTTGAAGTGTGGGTAGGAGATGGCCCATGTTGAGAGTGGGAACTGGGAATTAAAAAGATGAGGAGGTCTCTGCAAATCTACATGGATGGGAAGTAGCATGCTGATGTGGGAAACAACTAAAAAGTTCCAGAATGCATGGTTTATAAAGCGTGAGTCAGAGAGGGCTAGACCAGTAGCCAGATCAAGGATATCTCAGATGTTATAGTCATGAATTAGTGCATTGACCTGCAGGCCATGGGAGTCACTGAAGGTTTCAGTCAGGTAAGTGAGCTGATCAGAACAGTCCTTTAGATAGGCCGCTCTTTTGGCTGTAAGGGGGACACGTTTGAAGTAGGGCTATAGCTAAAAATATACAGACACTTCCTCTTGTCTACAGCCCTGCTGGCATCTGTTGTATTTTGACTTTTTAATAATAGCCATTCCAACCGGTATGAAATGGTATCTCATTGTGTTTTGATTTGCATTTTTCTGATGATTAGTAATTCTAAGCATTTTTTTTTCGTGTATTTGTTAGCCATTTGTATGTGTTCTCTTGAGAAGTGTTTGTTCATGTCCTTTGCCCATTTTTTAATCGGGTTATTTTTTTTTTCTAATTGATTTAAGTTCCCTGTAGATTCTGGATACTAAAAAACAAACAAAAACCAGAAGTAAATAAATACTCAGGACACACACACCCACACCCACACCCACAGAGAGAGAGAGAGAGAGAGAGAGAGAGAGAGAGAGCGCCTAGGTAAGAGGCCACCAACCACCAGGGTCTAAACTGGGAACACTTTCTAGTACAGAATGAATGGAAAGGATTCATGAAATATCTAGAAAGTAACGTTAATGAGATTTACATGTATGGAGTGAATGAGGAGAAACAGGGATCATTCAGGATTCTGGTGGGAATAACAGGAGGAGCCATTAGTTGAAATTTTGAAGTGGGAGAAGGAGAGGGAGTTTTAGGGGGAAAGATGAGTTGTTTTTAAGGTATTTCAAACCCTTGAAGCTTCTATGGGACATCGAAGTGGAAATAACAGTCTGTGGGTTGGGACAATAAAGAAAGAAATTGGTTGAAGACTAGGGGAAGAGTATAGAGCAAAGAAATATTTAAGATAATAAACATATAGAGATAGCTGAAAATGTGGGACTGGATTACAAAGGAAGAATGATTTAGTTATGAAGCCCAAGGGCTGACAGGAATGGGTGACTACTCGAGGAGTTCATATGCATCTGTTATTTTATGAATAAAAAAAATTATCTGTTCCTTCCTAAAGATATCTTCAACCTGTTTTTGGATACATGTGGGCACTGCTTTTCACTCTCTTAGCCCCATTTCTTATTTTAGCCTCTGCTGTAGCAATCAGTTCTGCACAGGCTTTGACCCAGGCTTTGACTAGTTGGTGCAGGTGTGATATGACACTTACCTGGAATGGCCCACAGTTTGTGGCTGCTCTCACTTAAGCAGGTGGGATGCTCATGTAGGTGTAACCTAGAAGCTTGGTAGAGTTTATGCCCATGGGGCAACCTGTGACCACTCAAAAATAAAGCCCTTTCCTCCTCCCAGATTGAGGAGTCTTGCATTATGTAATAAAACTCCTTAGAAGGCCTATTAGGTTCCAATACAGCATTAGGCAACTTGATAAGGTATCCCATTATCAGCCTTCCTTTCTTCCCTCATTCCTCTGCCTCTCACTCTTACTTCCTAAGTTAACTTCTTAGATAAAATGCCAACTTTCTATATTTTGCTTCACATCAGGGAAAATAATTGTATATCCCATTTCAAAAGCACATAAAAAGGAAGGTTACTGTATAGAAAATTTGTCTTTAATAGATTCAGCTGTAATTTTCCAAATACTTTAAAATTTTATTTCAGATACGTTTTTCATTTTTATAAGCTTCATCTAAAAGCAGAGTTCACCTAAGAATATACCTAAGAGCATATTACATAAAATATATTTTATATTTCAGTAGTATAGCTAGGATTCTTTCAAAATTGAGAGGATCTACAAATATTTCTAACACATTAGTTTTCAGTCTTAAGGCTGAGTCAAGAACAAAGCTCCTAAACTTTGCATTGGTGGTTGAGAACATTTTAAAATTGTTATTTAATTCATTAATTTATTTTTTAAAAATTTTCACATTGTAATTATATAGATTTATAGGATACAATTTGATGTTTCAATGAATATGTATGTTGTATAATGATCCAATAAGGATAGTTAGTGTATTAATTACCTCATGCATTTATCATTTCTTTTTAATAAGAAATTTCAAAATCCTTTCTTCTAGACACTTTGTAATATACAATACTTTACTTTTAACTATAGTCACCCTGCTTTGCAAAGAACACTAAAACTTATTCTTCCTATATAATTGTGATTTCATAACTGTTAACCAGTCTCCCTCCATTTTGCCCTCCCCACTTCTTCCTCACTGTTTGGTAACCACTATTCTACTCTACTTCTCTATTAACATTTTTTTTTTAAGATTCCACATATGAGAGAGATCATGCGGTATTTGCTTTCTGTGTCTGGCTTATTTCACTTAACATTGTATCCTACAGGGTCATCCATGTTGTTGCAACTGGCAGAATTTCATTCTTTTTTTATGGCTGAATAGTATTTCATTGTGTGTGTGTCCATATATATATATATATATATATAATTTTATGTATAATTATAATTACACATAAAATTATATATAATTATAATTATATAATTATATAATTATAATTATAATTATATAATTATATAATTATAATTATATATAAATTATTATAATTATATATAAATTATATAATTATATATAATTTATATATAAATACATAATTATATATATATTTATATATAAATATATAATTATATATAATTTATATATAAAACCATAATTATATATAAAAACATAATTATTTATAATTTTATATATAATTATAATTATATAGAATTTTATATGTAATTATAATTATATATAATTATATAGTTATATATAATTATATAGAATTTTATATAGTTATATACATTATAAATAATTTTATATAGTTATATATAATTATATGTAATTTTATACAGTTATATAAATTATATGTAATTTTATACAGTTATATATAATTATATGTAATTTTATACAGTTATATATAATTATATGTAATTTTATACAGTTATATATAATTCTATGTAATTTTATATAGTTACATATTATATATTATATATATTATATATAATATATATAATATATATAACATACATAATATATATTATGTATATAATATATAATATACATAATAATACATAATATATATTATATATAATATGTAATATACATAATATATATTATATATATGTAATATACATAATATATATTATATATAATATGTAATATACATAATATATATTATATATAATATGTAATATACATAATATATATTATATATAATATGTAATATACATAATGTATATTATACATAATATATTATACATAATATATAATACATAATATATATTATACATAATATATTATATATGTTATATATTATGTATAATATATAATATACATTATATATAATATATAATATACATTATATATAATATATAATATAATATATAATATACATTATATATAATATATAATATAATATATAATGTATATTATATATAATATACATTATATATAATATATAATGTATATTATATATAATATACATAATGTATATTATATATATATAATTCACTTGTTTGTTTTTAGACACACAGGTTGATTCCATATCTGATTATTAGAAATAGTGCTACAGTAAACATAAGAGTGCAGATATTTTTCAAACACAATGATTTCATTTCCTATGGATATATACCCAGTAGTGGGATTGCTGGGTTATGTGATCGAATGATTGTTTTTTTTGTTTTTTTTTAAATTTTTTAACGAACTTCCATAAAGTTTTGCTTAATGGTTGTACTAGTTTACAATCCCATCAACAGTGTGTAAGTGTTCCCTTTTCTCCACTTCCTTGCCAACTCTTGTTGTCTTTTACCTTTTTGGTAATAGCCATTCTAATGGGTGAACTGGTATCTTATTGTGGTTTTGATTTGCATTTCCCTGATGGTTAGTGATGTTGAACATGATTTTATTATATATTCGTCTTGACCATTTCTATATTTTCTCTTGTGGCATGTCTTTTAGTTTATTTTGTCCTTTTCTTTTTTTTTTTTTGAGAAGGAGTCTTGCTCTGTTGCCCAAGCTGGAGTGCAGTGGTGCAGTCGGGGCTCACGGCAACCTCCATCTCCCTGGTTCAAGCAATTCCCCTGCCTCAGCCTGCTGAGTAGCTGGGGTTACAGGCACACGCCATCATGTTTGGCTAAATTTTTGTATTTTTAGTAGAGAAATGATTTCACCATATTGGTCAGGCTGTTCTCAAACTCCTGACCTCAGGCAATCCACCCGCCTCAGCCTCCCAGTTTTGCCCATTTTTAAATAAGTTATTTGTGTTTTTGCTGTTGAGTTGTTTAAGTTTCTTATATAATGTGGGCATTAACTCCTTAGCAGATGTATAGTTTGCAAATATTGTATCCCATTCTGTAAGTTGTCTTTTCACTCTGTTAAGTTTCCTTTGCTGTGCAAAAGCATTTTAGTTTGATGAAACCCCATTTATCTATTTTTGCTTTTGTTGCCTGTGCTTTTGACGTCTCATTTAAAAAATTCTTTTACAACCCAAAGTTATAGAGAATTTCCCACATGTTATCTCCTAGTAGTTTTTCGTAGTTTTCAATCTTACCTTTAGGTCTTTAATCACATTTGAGTTGATTTTTGTATAAGGTAAAAGATAGGGGTCTAATTTCATTATCCCACATGTAGATATCCAATCTTCTCAGTACCATTTAATGAAGAGACTGTCTTTACCCCTGTGTGTGCTCTTGACTCCTTTTTTGAAAATCAATTGACTTTAGGTATGAGAATTTATTTCTGAGCTGTATATTCTGTTCCATTGGTCTATGTGTTTGCTTTATGGCAGTGCCATGCTGTTTTGCTTACTATGGCTTTGTAGTATATTTTGAAGTCAGGTAGTGTGGTGCCTCCAGCTTTGTTATTTTTGCACAGGATTGCTTTGGTTATTTGGGGCCTTTTCTGGTTTCATACAAATTGTAGGGTACTTTTTTCTGTTTCTGTGAAGAATTTCATTGGTATTTTGATAGGGATTGCATTGAATCTGTAGGACATTTTGTTAGTATGGTCATTTCAATAGTATCAGTTCTTCCAATCCATGAGTATATAATGTCCATTTTTTGTGTATCGTAAATTTTTCCATCAGTGTGTTATAGTTTTCATTGTAGAGATCTTTCACGGCCTTGATTAAATTTATCTGCAGATTTCTTGGTAGCTATTGTAAATGGAATTCCTTTCTTGATGACTTTTTCAGATAGTTCACTATTAGTGTATAGAAACACCACTGAATTTTCTGTGTTGATTTTGTATACTACAACTTTACTGAATTTATTTATTATTTCTAGTAGTTTTTGGTCAAGTCTTTAGGGTTCTCACTCTATATAAGTATATCTAGAAAGAACCTTAAAGAGAGAGAGATCATATATATCTATATGATCATATATATAGATGTATACATATGTATGTGAGATCACATTTTCTACAAACAGAAACAATCTGACCTCCTTCTTTCCAGTTTGGATCCCTCTTATTTATTTCTTTTGTCTAATTGCTCTGGCTCTGACCTCCAGTACTATGCTAAATAGAAGTGGTAGAAGTTGACATCCTTGTCTTCCTCCATATCATAGAGGAAAAGCATTTAACTATTCACCATAAATAAGATGTTAGCTGTGGGTTTGTCACATATGGCCTTTACTGCATTGAGGTACACTCCTATACCTACTTTCTTGACAGTTTTTATCATAAAGGAATGTTGACTTTTGTCAAGTGTTCTTTTTGCATCTGTTGAAATGATCACATGGTTTTTGTTTTTCTTTCTATTGTGGTGGTGTATCATATTTACTGATTTGTGCATGTTAAGCCATCCTTTCATCCCTGGGATGAATCCCACTTGATTATAGTGAATAATCTTTTTAGTGTGCTGTCGAAGTCAGTTCACTTGTATCTTGTTGAGAATTTTTTTATCTATGTTCTTCAGGAATATTGGCCTGTTATTTTCATTTTGTGCGTGTCTTTGTCTGGTTTTAGAATCAAGATATTGCGAGCCTCATAAGATGAGTATGGAAGTCTTCCTTCCTCATTACTTTTGTGGAAAAGTTTGTGGAGAATTGGTAGTTATTCTTTAACTGTTTGGTAGAATTCAGCAGTGAAGACATCAGGTCCTGGGTGTTGGTTGTTGTTGTTGTTGTTTTGATGGAAGATGTTTTATTATTGATTCAATTTCCAAACTCATTATTGATGTGTTCAGATGTTATATTTCCTCACAATTTAATCTTGGTAGTTGTATGTGTGCAGAAATTTATTCATTTTATTCTACATTATCAAATTTGTTGGCATATAGTTACGAGTAATGTCTTACAATCCCTTATATTTCTGTGGTGTATCAGTTGTAATGTCTCCTTTTTCATCTTTTATTTATTTGAATTTTCTCTCTTTTTGTCTTAGTTTAGCTAAAGGTTTGTCAGTTTTACCTTTACACTTTGTTTTATTTATCTTTTGAAATATTTTTTAGTGTCTGTTTCATTTATATCTGCTGTGAGCTTTATTATTTCCTTCCTTCTACCAATTTTGGGATTAGTTTGTTTTTGATGTTCTAGTTACTTGAAGTGTATAATTTTGCTTTGTGATTTGAAAATCTTTCTTCTTTTTTGGTGTAGGCTTTTATTGCTATAAATTTCCCTCTTAGAACTGCTTTTGCTACGTTCCATAGGTTTGGGTATGTTGGATTTTCATTCTTACTTGTCTCAGTGACTTTTGTAATTTTCCTGTTAATATCTTAATGAGACCCATTGATTTCTTGGGTGCATGCTATTTAATTTCCATGTTTTTATAAAATTTCCAAGGGCTTTCCTGTTGTTGATTTCTGGCTTTATGTCACTGTAATCAGAAAAGATACTTCATATGATATCTGTCTTCTTAAGTTTGTTAAGACTTATTATGTGTCATAATGTATGATTGGTCCTAGAGAATGTTTGGTGTACAGTTGAGAATAATTTGTATTCTGCAGCTGTTGGATGATGTATTAGTCTGTTTTCATACTGCTGATAAAGACATACCTGAGACTGGGTAATTTACAGAGAAAAAGAGGTTTAGTGGACTCATAGTTCCACTTGGCTGGGGAGGTCTCCCAATCGTGATGGAAGGCGAAAGGCACATCTTACATGGTAGCAAACAAAATAGAAATGAGAACCAAGTGAAAGGGTTCCCCCTTATAAAACCATCAGATCTTGTTAGACGTATTCACTACCACAAGAACAGTATGGGGGAAACCGCCCCCATGATTCAATTATCTCCCACTGGTTCCCTCCCACAACATGTATGAATTATGGGAGCTATAATCAAGATGAGATTTGGGTGGGGATATACAGCCAAACCATATCAGGTGAGATCTTCTTTACCTGCTAGGTCCATTTGGTCTATGGTATAGTTTGAGTCTGTCATTTTTTGGTTGATTTTCTCTTCAGATAATCTGTCCATTTTTAAAGTGGAGTGTTGAAATTTCCTACTAATATTGTATTGCAGTCTATCTCTACCTTTAAATCTAATATTTGCTTTATATATCTGGTTGTTCTGGTGTTGGGTACGTATATAGTTACACCTAAGTAATATATATGTTATGTCCTCTTATTGAATTGGGCCTTTTGTCATTATACAGTGACATTCTTTTTTTATATAGTTTTTTTATTTAAAGCCTTTTAAAATATGACATGACTGTGGCTACTCCTGCTTGCTTTTCATTTGTTTGCATAAAATATATTTTTCCATCTCTTCACTTTCAGTCTATTTGTCTTTAATAGTGAGGTAAGTATCATGTAGGCAGCATATAGGTGGGTTTTGCTATCTGAATCCATTCATCCACTTTATATCTTTTAATTAGAGTTTAATCCACTTCTATTCAAGTTTATTATTGATAAATTAGGACTTCCTTCTACCATTTCATTAGTTGTTTTTTAGATTACTTGTTCACTTCTTCCTTTCTTATTGTTTATCTTTCTAGTTTGGTGGTTTTCTGTGGTGCTAAGCTTTGTTTCTTTTCCCTTTTTTTTTTTTGTGTGTGTATCCGCTGTAATTTATTTCTTTCTGGTTAGTGAAACTAACATACAGAGTCCTGTATTTGTAACAGACTATTTTAAACTGATAACAACTTAACTTCTGTCACATAAAAATACTCTTGACTTCTCCCCCGCCACACACACAATTTATATTTTTGTTACCTTACATTACATCTTTATGAATGGTAGACTCCATGGAACATAGGTTCTATGTCACAACTAAATCAATTATTTAATGGCAGCATTAAAGCAGCCCAAAGAATGTGAAAAACTGGTGTCGGTGTATTTAACTTTTTAAAAACTATGTTTCATAATGTTTTCATTAAAAAGTCTTTATCAGTTTGCTAATGCCTAATTTTTACAACCATCCACCATAGATTTTACAGGATAAATATATTATTTCAGTAGTAATTGAAGCAGAATTTTTGTTGCTCTTCTTACCCTTAGAGATTGTGTATTATCCTCAGACGTAATTCTTTGATTTTTTTTTCTTTTCATGTTGTTACACATAGTTACCAACAATCAATGTGAGAATAACCTTTGAATATTTTCAAGCATTAAGATTTGTTTATACAGCTGCACAATTAGACAACCAACACTCTTGGGTCTTTACCTCTCAGCATACACCTGATTATTAACTTAAAGTTATGATGGGAAAAGTATCAATTTTTCTTGGTCACCTAGATTTAGAAATATGTAATAACCATAAGCTTGGGTCTGCTTCTTCAGAAGCCTAGGAAGTGGAGTGATGGTTCTCTGAAGAGGCTGAAAACAAAGTATGTGTTTCCAGAAGGCTTAATAGAATATGTTGAGACATAGGCCATTAACACAAAAGAGAAAGAAATGCAAAAAAAGTATGAAAGTAAGGATTTGAGAAGGGAAATTTTATTTTTAACTCTAAGATTCCTATGAATTATATGAAAGTAAATGTCCTATCCTTGAAATTAGCCAAAGGAAGCACTTTAATTATCAATATGATATGACTTTTCATACTCTTATCTAAAGATATCCGAAACTAAGATCCAGTTTTCTAAGAAAAGACCTTTTACTCATGCTTTAAAGCATGTTAGATGATTCCTACCACATCACATCATGTTGTTTACATGTATGATTTAAACTGCATTTATTCTTCAACTCACTGGTTCCTTAGGCTTCTTATCTTTCCTTGCACGCTTAGATAATTTTATGTAAAATTGATGTTTAGAAGTTTAGTTGCTGGGCGTAGTGGCTGTCACCTGTAAACTCAGTACTTTGGGAATTCAAGGCAGGTGGATTGCTTGAGTCTTGGAGTTTGAGACCTGCCTGGGAAAGATGACAAACCCCATTTGTACAAAAATAAAAATATTAGCTGGATATGGTGGCACATGCCTGTGGTCCCAGCTACTCCAAGGCTGAGGTGGGAGGATGGCTTGAGTCCGAGAGGCAGAGGTGTGAGCCATGATCACGCCCTGCTCTTCAGCCTGGGCAACGAAGTCAGACCCTGTTTCAAAAAAACAAAAAAAATCTAGTGAGATTTGATTTCTATTTCTATGTGATTCAAAACTAGGAGAGCTCCAAGGCTAATGACTTTTAAAAAATGGCCATTGCTACTTGCATTTTCTATGAAGCCAGCATACACAGCAACGTGCAACGTGCAACCTAAAAACCAAGCTATTTAATACGTAGCTTAGATTTCAGGTTTGATTGTCTTTGAGGTTTGATTATTGCAGAGATCAATTGCCAGACCAAATATAGACTAATTCTGTATTTGGTCTCTTTATCATATGAAACATCCCAGCCTTGGGTATAAATTAAGAGCAAATACAGATGTCCTTGTCAGGTGGTTGCTTCTCTGCACCTCCCGTAGGTGGCCAGTGAACTAAGACCATCAAGAGAGGAGAAGTCACAATAGTATCTTAGATGACGTTAAATTACGTTACAGTAACTCATGAACTCTGTCAGTGAGCTTGCATCATTGCTGGAGCATACCTCTTAGAATCCAAGGGATGAAAAGCAGGTACAAATAAATTGTGTATTAAGTGGCTTTCAGACTGCACTAGAATTAATTTTGTTTCAATGTTGAAATGTTGTCATTGAAGAAGTCCTAGATTCCGCATGAGCTTATGCACTGAGAGTTCACAATGAGATGCAGCATTATTTTTAACTATAATCTAGGTAACGTGAGTTACTGGAGAAAGCAGAATAGATTCTTAGGTAGTAGAAATAAATAGAGAGCTCATCTGAATTACAAATGATTTTTTTGTGTAGTCTTTAGCTGGTTTTATAGGAGACTACAAGGTACAAACTGAATCCTCAATAGACTAGGGAAAACATAGCAAAAATTTTCTTTTGAGCAATAAAATAAATAAATGTATGCATACTGTATTCTCTCCACATTGCATGGTTGAATAGAAATTTGATTTAAGAGGAATTGATAATTCATTCTTATCTCAGTTACCAGGTCAAGTAATTTATATTCCTAGGACTTTTATTTGCATGTATGTGAAAAATTATAAAATATCTCAGTTATCAGGCAAAGGACTTGATATCCCTGGGAATCCACTTGTCCTTTTTAACACAGAACTTAGATTAGATTAGTAGCTCTTAAATTTTCCTAATTATCAGAAAAACCTAAAGTCTTCCCTACAAACACCAATATCAAAAGCTCCAGAGGAGAATCCTAGGAATCTGTATTTTTAGCAAAAGCTGTTAGTGATTCTGATGGTAAGAAAGACAAATTGGGGAAACATTAGATTAAATGATATGTAAAGTAAGTGCCATGCTATTGAATGTCACAATATATTTTAAAAATTTCTTGAGATGAGTTGTAAATGTGACAATTCATTCTAGCTTATCTCCTAAATAGCATCAAGGACCCTATATTCTCTCTTTAAATTTCATTACAAAGATGCTAACTTAAATGCAGTCAGTGGAAGGTAGCTGAATTATAAAAAACGATGATGTGTTAAACAGTTAATAAGAGCTTTTGTTAATGGTGAAGATTTTATCTGTGCTTTTAGTTCTGTGGTGTCAATACAGTATCCCTTTCTAGTTGGTAGACAACTGACTATATTAGTTTGCTGATACTATCTCAATAGAATATTCCAGACCTCTCTCCCTCTACTTTATCTGCTTAGCAAACACTTCTATCCTTCATTTTGTTCAAGTAGATTTCCTTTCCTGATAACCATATTTTGATAACCAGCTAGCATAAATATTCAGACACATGTAGAGTTATATTTTCATTTTGTATTAAGTAACTGGCATTTTGTTTTATGGTTACTTTCTGGGGATACTGTCCAGGTCACTGAAGACCAGACACAAGCTGAATATACCCAGAGGGGGAGACACCATAAGAGGCTGGCATGAGGCGCTAGTGCTTATTTTCTTCTGCTGTAAAATGCCTGGGCATGAAGGGGAAAAAGCCTGGATGTAATTTGATCTGGAATTTCTGACCTAATGCTTTAAAGGGATTTCTGATTTGAGGCACTGCTTGAGACAAACTCATCCTCTTAAATAGGAGCCTGGGGCAGTGGCTGGACATCAGAGTACAAGAACAAAAAATAGAACTCAGGCTTATCTTGTGACAGATGAAGCTGAGGTGATTGCTTGAATATTTACCCCAGGCATAACTGAGATAAAAGTCCATCCTGTTGAGCTGCCAGATAATGCAGTGAGAATGGTTTTGATAAGTAATTCCCAGTTTTCAGGGAAAGTAGTATACTAATTTGTCAGAATTGAATACTTAATTTTTATTTCTATATGTACAAAAATATGATGCTTGATGAGTTTGGGAAAAGCATTAATGGACAATTTCATCAGTTTGATATAAAGGGATGCTCTCTATCACTTAGCTTAATATGAATGTGTGGCTCTATACAAGAGTGTGTTTCTTTTTTCTTTAGTTGTATGACTTACTGCCATCAAAAATCCCATTATACAAATGTGTATAATGAGAAAGGCTGCCACCTGGTTTAGTGAAATTATGATGAAAGATGTTTAGCAAAACTTTGACGAAACATATAATCAAAAATAGTTGATTTGCACAGCTAGTCTACATAGTGCCTAGGATCTCATGAACTGAAGATCCAGAAAGTTCTTGCAAATGGAGTTTTTTTAAATAGAAAAGCCAAAGGGCTTGTTGGTTGTACTACTGCCACATCTTCACAAACTGAAAAAGAAATACAAAAACAAAAAGCCTTAAGAAATTAATGACCCTCAACATGTTCAAAAATTAAATTACTTCATTAAAAATATTCTCAACATTCATCACATTAAGAAATCACATAAGTAATGAAATATCTCTTAAATATTCAAGGATAACTTGGGTTGCAAGGGCTTCTGAAGGTATAAACCACCAAAGAGATTTTACTCTAGATTTCTAGAGTAAAACAGACCTTAAGGTCTGTTTACAATAAGGCTAATGCCTTATTGTAAGGAGAAACGTATGTTAAATTATAGATTTTGATGAACTAAATTCCCCCACCCCCGAACTACATTATAATGTGCACATTATGTCACATTTAATGTTCAACATACCCTCAAATACCATTTTGGGAATCAGAGGCTTAAGTGACACCAAAGCATTTCCACATGTAAATAATAAAAAAGATAACATTAACATTATATTTTTATTTTCAAGGAAGTCAAATTTGAAGAGCAATTACAAAGTGGACAGGAACTTGACAATAAAAACTTTAAAGTTACATTTCAAATGAAATACTATAACTTTTAAAGAACAAAATGTTATTAACAGCATTAATTTTGTTAAAATAAAAACTTAACCGACGTTAAATTTAACATAATTTAATTGAGCAAGGAAAGATTCACGAATTGGGCAGCACTCAGAACCAGGAGAAGTTCAGAGAGCTCCACCCAGTAACATGGGCAGGCAGTATTTGTAGACAGAAAAAGGAAGTGACATACAGAAACAGCTTGATTGGTTAGAGCTCAGCATTTGCCTTATTTGAGCATGGTGTGCTAAGGCCTTTGCTTTAAATGAACATGGTTTAATCATTTGTGCTGAAGTTTGGCTGCTGTGATTGGCAGACAGTCGGTTACAAGAGTATACTCTTAGATTGCAGGTTGTTTACATACTAAGGTTGCTGTTTGCTATGTAGGGATTCAAAGTACTACATAATAACTATGGAGGAAGCTTTAGGCCAAATTTAATTTAATCTAACAGTTTCAAAAGCAGGTATTATTTTCACTAAAATGAGATTTTAAAATCTAAATTGAAAAAAGTGTTTATTTTGGGAAAACATTTATTATTACAGAACTTGTTCCTCTTGTAAGGGTCCAAAGTCAGTTACATAATGAATATTAAGGTGCCATGAAAAAAAAAAAATAAAGTGTGACACATGTAGAAAATGTTATATTATTAGTATAGTGCTAACCACTTGGTAGATGTTACAATTTTATAGTAAGAATTAATAGTTTTTTAAATATAAATAACTGTTTAAATTGGTTTTGTATTATTTGTATAGCTTCCTCTGTCATTTGACACCTATTAGTGACTACGTGATCAGTCAAAAAAAGCAAGAAGCCTAGTAAAAGAGAAGGTGAAAGTAAAAATTTGAAGCATTTGGACTTTTTAAACCAGTCAGGAATTAGACTCTTTGACTGTTTGGACATCATTTAACCAATGGTCTTTCTATGGGCCTATGGATGAGTTATTTAAATTGTGTGGGTCTCATTTATTCAAATCTAAACTAAGAATTTTAGATTCTAAATGTTCTCTATGGACCCATTTAGTATTAAAATGATAGATTTTAAAAAATATGTTGTAAGACTGGCCACAACTAATAGCTATTATACAGATATATAACATATATGATATACGTGTATATCATATGTGTATATGTTTTAATTTATATTATATATTTATAATATAAATTATATATTATATATTTTGTAATATAAATATATGTTATATATTTATATTAAATATATTTATATGATATATAATATAAATTAAAACATACACATATGTGTGTATATGTCTCTGTGCACATATATATATGCACATACACATATATGTGTGTATGTGTGTTTATATATTTCTTTTAATTCATCTAACAAATGAAATTGATATTACTCCAGATAGAAAGTGATGCTTGATAAATAACCGAAGATTGAAGGAAAGGACTTGGAAATGCAGGCATAAGTTGGGGAATGGAAAAAGGAGGACAGTCATGGCAAAACTGTATAAATGTAGGTAGAAATCGAATTGGAATCCAGGAACTAGGCCATGTAAGGAAGAGAAAGACACGGTTTCAAAGTAAAAGGATGCAGGATTTGTCAGCAGTTTAGATAGTAGTGTGAAATATTAGCGTAATCAGTATCTTTGGCACATGTTTTTTTTTTGATAATTATATGTCATGTAAAACAGATGGGATATAGCATGGCACCAAGTGTAACACCAACAGTTTTAGTTGAAAGGGGAAGTTTCATTTTTTCTTAAAATACATTAAGAGCTTATAATGTGCTAGTTACTGTGCTGGATGCTGTGTTTGCAGCGCTTGTGTCCTTCAGTGTCCCTCCTGGAGGTTGTCCTTAAAGTCTCATAGAGAAGACGAACATTAAATGCACAAATACTTATATGATTCTAAACAATAAGAAGTTTGTAAAAATAAAAAGAAAATAGCCTTAGCTTGAGTGGTCAAGGAAGGCTTCTCTGAGAAAGTAACATCTAACCTGGAACTTCAGATACAATTTCTAATTCACAATAACTAATGGGTGGGTATGTGGGACATTGAGCTAGAACAAAAGACAAATATGGGTTAGTTAAGGTTTAAGTCGAGTTTAAATCGATCATTTTTTTTTATTTCTGCTTTAGGTCTACATCAGTGTTAAGTTGCTACATAGAAACATAAAAATGGGGGAAATTTGGGATTTGGTGTCTCCTTTTACAAAGAGAATGAAAGGCATATGATGATTTTTTGTAGAAAGACTTGTATATTAAAATAATAAATTAGAGTTCAACTCCTTTCCTTAAATATTACCTTTAATGGTATGGAAGATAAAATTAGTCTGATGGGAAAAAAAATGACATTTAAGAATTTTAAAACTATGCTTCCTAAATAAGAATTTAATTTTGGCATGTGTGAGCCTATTGATCGGACAGTAGTGCATTGTGTTCTGTTAAAATCTTATTATACCTTATTATCTCATTTTTAAATAATAAAAACACAATTTACTGAAAATTTTAATCAATAGCTCTGAACCTTCTTCACTTTTTTCTAAAATATCAACCAGACTTTTTTCAATTAAATCATTCATTGTAACCTTTAGTAAAATAGGTTCCATATAATTTTTAGGATTTGGAAAAACTGGGAATAATTTCTCCTCATTCACATAATATATGAGATGCGAAGTGGGTTACAGGGTATATGGGTTCTCAGAGGGTATTTTAAAATAGCATGTGAGTGTGCAGAGTTTCAAGTAGCAAACTAATTTCAAGATGATCAACACTGATTCTTTTTAAAATTTACTTAGGCAGGTTTCAGGAAGGTATTGTTATATATCAGAGGCAAAAACACAAATGTGCCCCAATTTTGGCCCTTTTTTTGTGCATCTAAAAACATACAGAGGAAAATGGAACTGAAATGAACTTTGTGGTTTGTGAATCCTTTAAAAACCGCAAAAAGCAAGTTAATCTCATATGAGTTGAGTACTTAGAGATGATGTGTGTGATGATATGTGTAAGACATTTGTTTAGATTCCAAAGTAAAGATCAGCTCCCCACATCCTCCGTCTCTCTGCCTCTCTCTCTCTCTCAATGTGTGTATTCTCTTTCACTCAACAAGATTAGCAGAAAGAATTCTCTGTAAGTAAAAAAACATGTCTGAGGTTTTGAATGGCCCAATTTCTTACATCTTTTTTGATTTCTCTTTTAATATTATTATTATTATTTACTCTCTGCCCTCAACACAGCAGAGGCCTTGATGGGAAAAGGCTTTGTGGGCAAGCGGCAGGTGGGTAGTTGAATCTGGAGGACTCTAACAAATGAGACTCCTTCCTTCAGAAGAGTATGAAATGAGACATTTTATAAAGGGAGGGGAGGCTGAGTTGATTTAACCATTCCAGTGTGCAGATACATTAGAAAAGAATTAAGGGATCGTAATGCTTCCACAAATGAAATATTTCAACCATGTAGCACCATCCAAGTGCCCTGTTTGGAGATAATTCTCCATGGATTTCTTCTGTTAGGCACAGTTCAGCCTTTGAGCAAAGGGCGTATTTAAATGGTCTTTACCTTGAGACATTTGCTTACATTCCAGAGTAAAAATAAGCTCTTCTTGCCACCTCTCTTTCTCTGGAGGGGAGAATGGGCAGACATGCCAGCAGCCTATTCCAGCTAGAGTCTCCTCATTTTGTATTCCTCTCCTATGGTGTGACTGTCTGACATGCAGGTAAACATCCCTGCCTCCTCATATTGCCCTGTGGAAATGGAAGGTACTTCTCTGGCTGTTGCTTTTTCCTGTCTTTCTGTATCAGGGATCTAGTGTTTTATATCAGTGTATATATATGAAATAGTGGCAAATTTACTCATTAGCTTCCAAGTAGGGTAAAATATCAGGCCCTTCATGCTTTCTGATTTGAACTGTGCAAGGAATGGCAAACCCAAATAACTATGGGAACCAGACATGGGACATGAATTGAAAGAAGTAGGTGATATGGTTTGACTCTATGTCCCCCACTTAAATCTCTTGTTGATTTGTAATCCCCAGTGTTGGGGGCAGGACTGGTGAAAGTGATTGGATCATAGGGGCGAATTTCCCCTTGCTGTTTTCATGATGATGAGGGAGTTCTCATGAGATCTGGTTGTTTAAAAGTGTGTTGCACTTTCCCCCTTTCCCCTTCATTCTCTTCCTCCTACTCCAGCCATGTAGGAAATGCTGGCTTCCCTTTGCCTTCTGCCATGATTGTAAGTTTCCTGAGGCCTCCCAAGCCATGCTTACTGTACAGGCTGTGGAACTGTGAGTCAATGAAACCTCTTTTCTTTATAGATTACCCAGTCTCACATAGTTCTTTACAGCAATGTGAAAACGAACTAATAAAGTAGGTGAAGTTTAAAATAATGAATGGCAGCTGACAACCTTGGTGTGGGTGCATAATAGGGAGGACTAGTGTCTGCGGCAGCTGAGGAGCAATGTCTTCTTGTGAGATATCCTACTTTTGAAATATTGGCAACCAATCTGACTCAAGAGCACTCATGGAGTTAAACGAAACTGTTATGGACTGGGTCCAGCCCAAGGGCCACCATTTAGTCTTCTCTATCGTAAATGGTGAGATAGTCAAGGATGGGGATGAATTTATTTCTTCCTGTTAACTGTGGAATCACTTGGCGCAATGCCTAAGTAGAC